>NT_187552.1:0-197536 GCF_000001405.40 Homo sapiens | reverse complement strand
AGTTTCACCGTGTTAGCCAGGATGGTCTCGATCTCCTGACCTCATGATCAGCTGGCCTCGGCCTCCCAAAGTGCTGGGATTACAGCCGTGAGCCATGGTGCCCGGCCGAAACGATTTCTTAAGATGAAGAGCCCACGATTAGAAAGGAGGACAAAAATAGAGCCCATCTATTCAATATGGCATCACACGCGGCACGTGTGACAGACGCATGAGAAAGGAGCTGAGCAGCCCAAGTGAGAGAGGCCCCATCAGCACACCCTGGTCCCGCGGCCCTCTGGGCTGTTCCAAAGGCGAGTCCATGAAACGGTGGGTGCGGAGGGAAGTGGTGCCTTAGAATCGTCTGCTCAGGGAGGACTCCCGGCTGCTGTGGAATGCATACGCACTGTGTGTACGCACAAACACATGTCGGACAGCCACAATGTGATGAGCACCAAACAGAGGCAGCAGACACAGAAAGAGCCCTTGTCTTACAGCCGTTTACTCCCTAGGCCTGGTCAATATTTCTACTTGCGCAAGATATCTACTCATGGACTACAGATTGCTATACACACACACTTACACACACGCCTGCACACACGTATACACATACATGCCTACACACATGCACACACATGCACACATGCACACGTACACACGTGCCTGCACACACGCACACACACACGTGCCTGCACACATATATACACATACACATGCCTGCACACATATATACACATACACGTGCCTGCACACACGCAAACACACGCACACGTGCCTGCACACATGTATACACACATGTGACTGCACACACATACACACACACCTGCCTGCACACACGTACACACACGCACACACACGTGCCTGCACACATGTATACACATGTGACTGCACACACACGTACACACACCTGCCTGCACACACGTACACACATGCACACACACGTGCCTGCACACACCTACACACACGCACACACACATGCCTGCACACACGCTTCGTCATTGGCTGCCACGTGGCTTCCCTAACAGGCTATGACCTCATACTCTCACGCCACACACCCCATTGTGAGTCTAGAAGCCCTCCAACCCACCTAGACCTCAACATTTCTCTGGCTGTTAACTCCACTTTTTCCTAAAATCTCGGAACGAGAATGCTCTCCTCTGGGATTCCAGCCCTGACCTCCTCACTTTGACTGACTCAGACCCTCCTGTGTCTTGGGCTAGCAGGCACAGCTGTGTGTTTCAATGACACACGCTATGATCTGCATCAGCGTTCCTGTCTCTGCCTCCTGGCCACCGTCCAGGACACAGACTGCGCTTTCTCCCCTCTGTGCCCCTGGCCTGTCCCGGTCTATGTTTCCATTAAACATCCAAGAGCACGCATGGGTGTCTGCACCATCGCTCCGTCACCTGCCAGCCGGAACAGGGAGCTGCAGTCTTCAAGGTCAGGGTTCTTCTGGAACCCTCTGGACAGCCTGGTCAGGCAGATGACACCCCACAGACCACAGGGCTCAGAGAGCCTGGTCAGGCAGATGTTACCCCATAGACCACAGGGCTCGGGTCACTGGTCACACAGAGGTCACACCAGGTCAGCTTCCTGCAGGAGGACAGGTTGTTTCCTTGGGGTCCTTGGTCTCTCTCGAGTGATTTGAGCCTCCTGCTTCATGGAGCTCTACTCCCAGTCTGATTGGGACAACAGAGGAGACCTGTGAAATTACCTTGTAAATGGCAAACTGGAATCAAATGTCAGATAAATTGCTCACCGTTACCAGGCACAGAACATTTATTTTGTAATTTCTGACGATTTAGGTTATTTAAGTGCTGCTTGCCTATAATACCAACCTGCAACTGAACACAGATTGGCATCATGAGCTCTGGGTTTAATCTGTTCTGGCCCTGGCAGGGGAGGGGCAGCTTGTGGTCATCAAAGCTGTTTGACTTGCCCTGGCCCAGAAGCCAGGATAACCTCTACTGGCCTATGTAAGAGCAGCTTGAATATAGTCCACTTTCAGGGACACATGTGCATGCACATACATGTACATATGCACCCACCATGCACACATGCAAATACACTTGCACACATGAACATGCAAATACATAACGCACAGATGCACATGGGCACAGGCAAACCTGTGCACACATGTACACACAAATATATGCACATATGTGCACACAGGCATGCACATATGTGCACATGCAAACACTCGTGCCCATAGGCACATAGTCATGTGCACAATGCACATACGCCCACACATGCACACAAAACACATGTGCACCTAAATACAAACATGCACATATGTGCACACAGGCATGCAAAACACATGCACATAAAACACACGTTGTCACACCTGCACAGGCAAACACATGTCCCCATAAGCACAGTCACATGCACACAGGCACTCATACAGGCACACATGTGTGCAGGCATGTGTATGCATGCCCTTATGCATGTGTGTGCATGCATGCAAACATACATACACATGCACACCAAATGCCCATGCAAACACACATGTACCCATGCACACACACAGGCACACACGTATGCAGGCACATGCACACAAATACCCATGCAAACACACATGTACCCATGCACACACACAGGCACACAAGTGTGCAGCCACATGCACACAAATACCCATGGAAACACACATGTACACATGCATACACACAGGCGCACACACGAGCAAACACATGCATACATGTGTATATGCAAAGGCACACACACATGCCTATACACAGGCACATGTACGGCTCCTGATCCACATTGGGTTTTGCCTCTTTTGCTGTATTTAACCTCAGGGACTTCTCTAAATGTCCTCACCAGTGATTGTGATTTGGAATCTAAAATACCACACTATGAATTCCTAAGCACAGAGAGTATGTCAGGTTGTCAGGCTAAGTAGGATCCCCACCATATCACCAGCAATGAAATGTGGGCTACCCATGGAGGGTGGGCACCTTTCACTTCTTCCTTTGCTGTTTCTGTCTCAGAAGAGGTAGTTTAAAACCTGAGTTTTGTGCTTATCATTTGTTTTTATAAAATTTTTCTTTCCTCTATTTTGAAGAGTAAGTAAAAGGAGGTGATTTTTGGTGAGTTAAGAGTTGATTAATTTAACTTCAGGTAGTCTGCACTCTGAGCTTTGAAGTGTGGTGATGAACGAGTGATGTTGCCAATTCCTGGACTTGCTCCAGTCCTTGGATCTTGTTATGATTCACAGGCCCAGTGTCAGGCAAACCCATTATCTTTCCGAGGGCTGTTTGTCTCCAGCCCTCCATGCGCCAGGCAAACGGCTTTATCTGGGCCTCCCAGAGATTGACCTGGCTGACTCCTGCTGGAACAAATGGCAGCTCCTTTCCAAACTCAGCATAAATGCGCACATGTAAGGCAAGGAAGGAGCATGTGATAGCGCCAGGATTTCATGACAGACGGTGCAAGGTGAGCGTGCGTGTTACACAGCGCCAGCGTGACCAGCAAGCCCGTTGCAGGACGACACCTATAAATGCTGCCGCTGACCGCTGGCGATGTGCCATCTTGGCCTTGCTTTTAAGACAAGGCTGTTCATGGCCGGCACTTGGAGAACAAAATTTAGTTGCAATTAACAGAATTCGGCCACAGCAGGAGGGGCCAGGAAGGAAGGTGGGGCTAACTGAATTCCACAACATCCATTTTCCATACAGTTCACAGCCATTAAGATGGGCTCAAACCAAGGCCATTTGGTTGATTAAGTGAAAAGCCACCCATTCCTGTGGGGAAAGCACCGGATATTTACTTAAAACAGTTAACCCTGATTTCAGCTCAGTTCTTTGTTGACTGTTCATCTTTAGAGGTGTCATTTAATCTCTCTGAACTTCAACTCTTTAACCAACAGGGTTGCTGAGGGCACCAGATGGAACCACGCGCACGACTGATGGGGTGTTTCACAAACGTGTTCATTTTGGAAAACTGATCAAGACGTAGCCCTGCACACTATTGAGAACACAGCAGTGGCACTCGTTGTGGCTTGGAAATAAATACTAACACCTCAGAAAGATTCACATTTCTCCTTATTCCACTGAGCTCAGTGGTGATCAAAGTGGGCATTTTTTAATCATCTGCATTAAATAATCATCAATTTTATTATGTGCACAGTGGTTGTTTTCATTACTCATAAGTTAATCTATGGAAATGGGATTTTAAAAACCTGGACCACCTGGAAAGCCCTAATAAAGCACGGTAGCAGCTTCCCTTTCTTTTTGCACAAGAAGCATTAATACAAGAATTACGTGACGGTAAAGGAAGGCAGTAATTTAAAAGTTCCCCAGCACGCCGCCAAATAAAGCCTAGGAAAACACTTCCCACTGAAGAGTAGTTTTTCTCAAAGGCCGAGAAGACAGGAAAACCTGACAATGCTCTGCCCTCTTCCTAAGCCAGGCAGGCGAGATGCCAGAGGAACAGGGATCTGGGTCCTCCCTGGGAAGGGCAAAGAATGTCCAGACACCAGCAAGAGCGGGCATTGTCCCAGGCTGGTCCTGGCACACAGTTGCTCTTATATAACTTGAGACACCGTTTCTGAAACATTTTGGCCTGAGCCCTGCTAACCAAGCCACACCAATGCCTGAAGCTCTCCATCGTGACCCCCCACAGAGCAGAGCTGGGGCCACAGTACCTCATGTCACTGCCTACCTGCCCCTGATTCCCTGCTACGAGGCGTGTCCAGGACAGGCCGGCCGAGCAGCCCGCAGACCTCATCTCATTGCAGGTCTTGTTTTTCCCCACAGTAAAATAGCCGTATTGCTCTTTTCCTAATAAGTAATTTTTAAAGCACATTTTTGGTATAAAAATTCCAACCGCCCAGCCAGGCACAGTGGCTCATGCCTGTAATCCCAGCACTTTGGGAGGCTGAGGCGGGTGGATCACGAAGGAGTTCAAGACCAGCCTGGCCAAGATAGTGAAACTCCATCTCTACGAAAAATACAAAAAAATCAGCAGGGCATGGTGGTGAGTGCCTGTAATCCCAGTTACTCAGGAGGCTAAGGCAGAGAATTGCTTGAACCTGGGAGGTGGAGGTTGCAGTGAGCAGAGATCACACCACAGCACTCCAGCCTGGGCGATAGAGCAAGACTCCATCTCAAAAAAAAAAAAAATTCCAACCTTCCTTTAAAGAAAGAAAAATCACTAAAAACCCAGAACCCTGCAGTGCCCACAGTTAAAATGTTGGTGACTGTCATTTTATACATCTGCACACACCAATTATTACATCAATGGGATGGGATCACATGTGAAGTTTTTCTCAGGGCCAGTCTTTTCTAAAAAGCCTTTTTGAGTGGGCAAAGGACATGAACAGACTCTTCTTTAAAAAATATACATGCAGCCAACAAACATATGAAGAAAAGCTCAACATCATTGATCATTACAGAAATGCAAATCAGAACCACAATGAGATAACATCTCATGCCAGTCAGAATGGCTATTACTAAAAAGTCAAAACATAACATACTGGCAAGGTTGGGGAGAAAAAGGAACACTTTTACACTGTTGGTGGGAGTGTACACTAGTTCAACCATTGTGGAAGACAGTGCGGCAATTCCTCAAAAACCTAAAGACAGAAATGCCATTCGACCCAGCAACCTCATTACTGGGTATATATCCAAAGGAATATAAATCATTCTATTATAGAGATACATGCGTGCTATGTTCACTGCAGCACTATTTACAATAGCAAAGACACGGAATCAACCTAAATGCCCTTCAATGATAGACTAGATAAAGAAAACATGCTACACGTACACCATGGAATACTATGCAGCCATAAAAAGGAAGGAGATCATGTCCTTTGCAGGGACATGGATGGAGCTGGAAGTCATCATCCTCAGCAAACTAACACAGGAACAGAAAACCAAATACTGCATGTTCTCACTTATAAGGGGGAGCTGAATGATGAGAACACAGGGTCACATGGCAGGGAACAACACACACTGGGGACTGTGGGGGGTGGGGGAGGGGAAAGGAGAGCATCAGGAAGAATCGCTAATGGATGCTGGGCTTGATACCTAGGTGATGAGATGATCTATGCAGCAACCCATCATGGCACATGTTTACCTATGTAACAAGCCTGCACATCCTGCACATGTACCCCCAAACTTAAAATTTTTAAAAAAGAAAATGCCTGTTAACCCACAAAAAAAAACAAAAAATAAAAAATAATACAATATAAAAGGCTTTTTTGGCCAGCTGCTTCCTGCCCCTCCCTTCCCCTCCTCTCCCCCACCCCAGATATAAACCACAAGGCATGTGTCCTTCCGAGCGTCTCCCGCTCCAGTGAATCCTGTGCAATTATCTGTGCTCATACATGAGGCAATCATGTCACTGTTTCAGATACAGGATCTCACCACCACATAATTTTTACTGCCTCTTTTCCTTTCCTCACTCAAGAAAATGGTTCCAAGGAGCTGGTACAGATGCATGGTGTCTGAAACAGCCACAGAACCATCCACAGATGAGCCACAACCAGTCAGCCACCACTTGGCTTAGTCTCTGAGGGGAGGGCAGATAGTGCGGTAAACACCCATCTGTCTGCCAGGCCACGTGCATCTTTCCTCATGCACCCATGTTCTCCCCTGCAGAATGCAGTGCAGTGCAGACTCCTGGAGAGAAGCTGCTGAAGTGACGAGTGTGTTTTCAATTTCAGTCGATTCTACCGGATTCCTTCCCCAAAAGCCTGCATCGACTCACACAACCACACAGCGACAAACTCAAGTGACTTCAGAACATAGAAATTACCCAGTGGAACATGCATAGCATAAGATCAAGAAGAGGTGAAAAACCCTTAACCTGCTGTGGGAATCACATTATTGGTTCTGGTGTTTTATTCTAGGACGATTGCACACATAAGGGAAGAGAGAGCATGAGTAATTATGTTGCGTCATGGGGAAGCAGCATTTTGGGCACGGAAAGAAGAAACAGAAGATACAGTATGTTAAGTCTTGAATTTGAAAATGCATTTCTCAGGTCTATCTGTTGAAAGAAGCTAGAAATAAGGCCACCCTATTAAGAACACACATTCCTAGAGCCTGCGTTGGAACCTAAACTTCCTTTCCACGAAAAGAAGCCAGGACTCCAGAAAGTGGCTAATTCCAGGTCCAGGGTAGAAAATGCTCCACATGAGCCTGGAACATCCTGTCAGGTCAAAGATTCCCAATGAAACGGGAAAGGTTCCCTCGTCCCCTTCACAGATGTGCGATGGGGGAGTGGCTCGCTTCTTCAGTGTCCCACTGTGCAAACCTCAAGGGGAGCAGACAGATGGGCAGGCTTGGGGCTCCGACTCCACGGCAGTGTCCAGGGGGGAATGTTCACAGGGGTAGCCCCAGTGGGCGTGTGTTCCAGGGTGCTCTGTTAGCTTTCTGTCTATGGGCGGCTTGTGTTAACGACCTCAATTAGACCCTGGCCTTATCACAAGGACAGAGGGCTTTCCGTATCCTGGAGTTTCTTGCCCTGGTGTACCAGAAGAATCGGATCACACGTGGGCTTGGAGAATGAGTGTAGGGTTTTATTGAGTAGACGTAGCTCTCAGCAGATGGGGGAGCCAGAAGGGAGGTGGTTTTCCCTGGAGTCCGGCCGCTGACTCTCCTCCGACCTCTCAGGCCGAACTCCGCGTCATTCCACAGTCGATGGCCTGCTGGTGCCTGGCAGCGTGCTCTTCTGCCCGCGTGCTCTCGACGACCCACCGCTTGTGTCTTCTTCCACCGACGGGTTCCTCACGACGTCCAGCTGCTTCTCTGTGTCTGCCCACTAGGGTCTTGGTTTTCACAGGCTCAGGATGGGGGTGTAGGGGGCCAGGGTGGTCTTGGAAAGTGCAACATTTGAGCAGGAAGGCCAGAGTGCCTGTCCTCACCTAGGTCCGTGGGGGTGGCCAGGGGCCACTCCCTCCTCTGCCCAGCACTCCCATATCACCAAGACGGTTGCAGGAATAGCAAACCTGCAGAGCCCCCCGCCCAGGCCTACAAATGTGTTCAAATCTGTGAGTCTGCAGTGAGTTCTCACGGGAAGAAACCTGACGGCACTGTGGCCACAGCAAGCCCCGCTGAGACCGGCCCATCTCCAGATGCCAGCACCCTGCTCGTGCCACCTGGCCTGGGCTGCACCTCAGCAGCCGTGTGCTGCCCACATCAGCAGCGTCGGGAACTTAGGACCCCCAGGCCAGTGTCCCTGCGGCCAGTGTTTGGGTGGACAAGAGCGTGGAGATCTCCCTCCCCTAGCGAGCCTGACCAGCTGACTCTGGGGCCAGGCTGAGGGGGGCTGTGCCTGAAACTTTCCTGCCGCCAAGAGCCTCTTGTCCCACCCTGCTTCTCCACAGCCTTGCCGGCCTCTTGGGAGCCCTTTCCAAGCTCCTCACTTGTCCACAAACTTCTCGGCATCAACTAAGGAAGTGACCAACTACGGAATGTTCCAGAGAAGCAGTGCCTACGATTTTCTCCCGCCCTTCTGTTTCTTTTGCCCTAAAATGGAGGAAATTTCTGAAATTGATCAGGAAACCAACTCAAGTGAGAGCATGGGACCTCCTTCTCCCTGCCCAGCAAAAGGCAGGCCCGGAACGAACCAACCTGAGTGACCTCCCCTTAATTCCGTCTCCCCTCTGCCCTTCCCCAGCATTTAGGAGATCCTAGACATCCTTCAAGCGTCTGAACACAGGAATGGATCTCAAAGTCAATCGGTGTTGTGCAGAATTTAAAAGCATCTGCTTTGGAGTCAGGAAAAAGACAAGGATTTCTACTATCACCATTTGTATTCAAAATCACCCAGCACGCACATTATGTTTAAGATACAAGCCTTAAGAATCGAAAAGGAAGAAGCAAACATTCATTGCTTGCAGACAATATGATTGCCTATGTAAAACTAAAGACCTCAGAAAAGTTATTATAAATACATAGTCTACAAGGTGCCTGCTCTAAGATCAATGTATAAAAATAAATTGCACACATACAGCAGCAACAAGACTTAGAAAACCTGACTTTAAAAAAAATACAATTTATGGCTGGGTGTGGTGGCTCACGCTTGTAATCCCAGCCCTTTGGGAGGCCAAGGCGGGTGGATCACCTGAGGTCAGGAGTTCAAGACCAGGCTGGCCAACATGGTGAAACCCCATCTCTGTTGAAAATTAGCCAGGTGTGGTGGCACACACCTGTAATCCCAGCTACTCGGGAGGCTGAGGCAGGAGAATCCCTTGAACCTGAGAAGCTGAGGTTGCAGTGAGCCAAGATCGCGCCATTGCACTTCAGCCTAGGCGACAGAGCAAGACTCCTTCTCAAACAAACACACAAACAAAAATTTATAACGGCAACAAAAACTATGTGACCCAGAAATAAATCCTTAGAAAGTTGCATAAGACCTAACGCAGAAAATTATAAAATTTTGTCAAAAGACATAACAGGAAACCTAAGCAAATGGAGAGAGAGCTCCTGTTTATAGCCAGAGACACAGAGAAGCTCAACCTGATGCAGGTGACTGTTTTCCTTAAATTGGCCTCTGGATTTGGTGCAGTTGTAATCATAATCCTAACAGGGGTTTTCATGAAATTAGAAAAAATAATTCTACAATCTGTATGGAAGAACAACGTGCCAGACATATCTAAGAAACTCCCAAAAAGTGTAATTCCTGTCAAAACTTATTATGAAGGTAAGGCAGCATGACATCGGCCCAGCAATGAGCAAACTGACCAGGGGAACAAGGCAGAGTCCAAAAGCAGCCCCGCGTGTGCGTGCACAGACCCTTTGCCAGTGGAAGTGTGATGCTGCCGGCTGGGGAGGGCTCATGTGAAAAGGTCCAATGAGATCACATCCTTACGCCTTACACATTAATCAACTCCACGTAAGTCACGACTTAAATGTGAAAAACCTTTTGAATTTTAGAATGAGAAAAACATCTGAGTTTAGGAAGGGAAATTATTTCTTAAACACACACAAAAAATGCTAATCATCAAAAAGATGGATAAGTGGAACGACATTAAAATTGAGAACTCCTGTGCGGCAAAAGATGAAAAGGATTAGACATGAACTAGCTGCTGTTTGCAACCACATAACAAAATATTAACATCCAGAATATATTAAAAATTCATTGGTTCAAAATAATCCCGGCAGGAGGGGTAAGTGGACAGAGGAACAGACAAAACAAGGGTCCACATGCAGGTGATTGCGCAGCCAGCTCTGGTCCAGGGATTCACTGTGATGTTTTCTTTCCTTTTGAATATGTATAAATATGCCCATCATAAAAGTATTAAAAATTTAAAAAAAAAAACAAAATAAGAAAAAGACAGATGATCAGGCAGAAAATCAACAACAGGTGACTCCAGTGCCGTTTGCAATGGCAAAGTCCTGGGAACAACGTCAGAGTCCACTGGCAGGAGGAGGAAGTAGGGAGCTGTGATGTGGTCCATCGTGGAGTAGTACACAGTGGTGAAGATGAACAAACTACAGCCATGCAGAGTTAAATCGGTGACTCATGAAATGTGACAAGCTCTGGACGAGAACAGGTAGTGTGATACCATTTTTCAAAGCTGAAAACCAACCAAAACAACGACATGTTGTTCAGCAAATACACAAATGTGATAAACATTTTTTAAAGCAATGAGATCATGGCACCAAGTCCAGGCGTGGGTCCCTGGTGTGGGACCCAGCGGGGCTCAGGCAGGCAGGCAGGCATGGGGGTGCCAGTCCTGTCCTATCCTCAGAGGGAGGGTTTCCTGGGGCCTTCATCGCGATGTGCAAACATGTGTGTTACAGCATTCCTTTGCGTCAAATATGATATTTGCAAATAAAATAAAGACAATTATTGTAATGACACACAGAATCCCAGAGTCTTTCTTAAAGTAAAACCAGGTAAAATTTTCTTAAAAGTAGACCAATTATATTTATAAATGGGACATTTTAGTCTTAGGAAAAGATAATCATTCTACAAATGGGTCATTGTCGCTTGAGAGAAAGTGTGAGCACAGCCCATGTGGGGTCACGGGGTGGCTGGACAGACGCGCAGACACATGCTCTGCCAGCCTGCAGAGCACGGCCCCTTGCCAGGGTGGAGTTCCAGTGTTTGTGAAATGTTAGAGTATAAAATTTCCTAAATGACTGTTCCTGTGGAAGCACATCAAGATATACGCGTGAAACTAGAACCATGTGCTAAGTGTCTTCATTTTTCAAGTCAGCAACCTGGCAATGGCTGAGACCACAGTCCTTGTTGCCTCCAGGGTGCAACCTGCTCTGGGCTGTCACAGTCCCTGGGGACTTCAACTCAGAAGATCCCTCAACTTTCTGGAAGGTTCCCCTCTCAGAAGATGACTTGGTCCCATCTCCATTGCTTGCGTTCAGACCTGTTTGCTGTGTGTCCACATCTGCAATGGCCCTCCCGGCGAGAAAGCTGCGGTGGACTGGGAAGGACATGTCATGTGTGGGATTGCTGCATTCCTGCAGTCAGGCGATGCTTACAAAAATGACAGCAATTGTGAAGTTTAACTGACCAAGTGTTCGGAGCATAAAACTGAGTTTTAGCGCAATAGTCAACCAATCTCTACAGATCCCTGCTCAGCACAGACTCAGGGCCAGAGAAGATGTCCAATGTGCCCCGGTCCCCAGGGCCCCTGGCGATGGCCAGCCCTGCCCCACCCCTTGCTGCTTGGCTCAAGAGTGGCCACCACGGCTTATCCTCTGTCCTCCATCTCCCAAGGCACCTGGGGCACCCTGCACTGTGTTCCCTGAGCACCAGGTGGGGTCTCCCAAGACACTGCCCCCTGTTTCTCCTAATGTCCTGCACAAGGTCCAGTTCCCATCCCCTGCTCCCGTCTCCCCAGCCTCACTCCCTGACCCCTTCCAGTCGGGAAGCAGGTTCACATCCAAACACACTGCACCCCAGAACACTTGCCCCCAGGTGGCCAGACACCCTCCACTCTCAGTCAAGGAGGCCCCTGAGGATGGCGTTGTCTTTCATCAGGCAGACACGAGAAGGAAAAGCCCGCCAATACCCTCTGAGAGCCTGTCATGCCCCTTCCTCCACTGCTTCCTGCTGCCCTGGCCCAGCCTGGGTTCAGCTGGGATCTTGCACAGCAGATGCTCCTGACTCACATCTAAATGTCCGAGCCCATCACCCCATGCCAGATCCATGGCCCCCAGAGGCCCTCCCCTCTACCCTTGAAAGAAAGTCCACATCCCTCAACCTCCAAGAGCCCCAGGCCAGACCGGGCCATCCTTCCTGGCACACATCCCCCTGAGCCCTGTGCCCCTGGCCTGCAGCTGAGCTCATGTCTCCCCATGGGCAGATGTCTCCTTCTCACCTTTGTGCAGCAAAGCCTCCACGTGCAAGCATGTCTGTGCCACACAGAGACCACTAAGATGAAGCCAGAGAACAGTGTTTCCTTTAGTTTGTGTGTGTGCACACGTGTGCATGGACATGTTTAGGCAGATGTGCGTGTGTGCATGTGCAGGTGTGTGTGTAGATGTGTGTGCCTGTGTGTATGCATGTGTGGTGCAGGTGTGTGCACGTGTGCATGTGTGTGCAGGTGTGTGTGTGCAGGTACGCAGGTGTGTGCTCATGTGTGCAGGTGTGTGCATGTGCCTGTGTGTACAGGGGTGTGTTTGTGCAGGCGTATGTGCATGTGTACACAGGTATGCAAGTGTGTGCACATGTGCACATGGATGTGTGTGTGGGTGTGCAGGTGTGTGCGTGTGCAAGTGCGTGCTATGTGGGCTGGACGTCTTCCCTGCCTCCCCTCCCCTGGAACTTTGGGCTGCTGTGGGAAGCTCCAGGTTTCCTGTCTCTGTAGGATGGTTGGCCTGGCTTGAGCCCAGACCGGGGGACCTTCCCAAAGCCTTTCCTTCCCTGCACATCCTCTGCGGGAGGACAGCGTCTCTGACCCAGTGGAGGGGACAGCCCAGCTCACCCGCAGAGATGGTATGGTCTGCCCAGGGTGCATTTGAAGGTGCAGGCTCTAGAGCCACCTTGGAGCAGGGCTTGGAAACAACACCAAAGCCTCTCTGTGGAGGGTGGGGAATGCAGCGGGCCAGGCCCCCACATGCTGTCCCAGAGGACTTCTTCCTAATAACTCCTGACTCCCGGCTTGGGGTGTCTGCTGTGCAGCTTTTCCACCCAGAAACGCATCTGCCAACACCGAGGCCACAGCCTGGCCCTTGCCTGTCTTCTTCCTGACCCCAGGTCAATCAGCTGGACAGAGCCGCTGCAGAGCATTCAAATTCATCACTGAGGGACTAGGAGTCATTGGTGCGGAAGTCAGAGTCTGTTAGCCCTGTTGACAACATCCTCAGGATAGAAGGTGCAGGGGGCAAAACCGTGGTGTGGTGTGTGCATTGTGTGCACCCATCTGTGCCTTCCCTGCCACCGTCAGCTCCACCGTGGTGTGGTGTGTGCGTCGTGTGCGCCCATCTGTGCCTTCCCTGCCACCGTCAGCTCCACCGTGGTGTGGTGTGTGCATTGTGTGCGCCCATCTGTGCCTTCCCTGCCACCGTCAGCTCCACCGTGGTGTGGTGTGTGCATTGTGTGCGCTCATCTGTGCCTTCTCTGTGGTGTGTGCGTCGTGCGCATGTTGGCTTCTCTGGCTGGAGGTTCCTCTCCAGGATGGCGCGAGCAGTGTGTGCTCACCATGGCTTTTCCAACACCTAGGAGAGCTCCCGGAACCTGAATGGGGATGAAAAGTGAGTCTTGGAGCAAGGAAAAAAGTGTGTCCCCCATGAGAGAAACAGCGGCAAGCAGCATCAGAGCACGGCTCCCTTCCCTTCTCTCCTTCTGCTCTTTAGATTTCAAAGGAATTGGCCCCATGGGGTGTGGGAGAAAATGAACCTCTTTTACCATGGAAGTTGCCTAAAGTACTCTGCCTGATTTTCAAAGCTAACCATTCTGTCAACAACTAGAACAAGGCCAGGAGGTGGGACAGAGCCTCACATCCCCCAAATTGAAAAGAAGAAGAGCTTCAACAGAGTGACCAGCACAGACCCCCATGCCGTGGGCTTCCCGGGCAGCTGAGTGACCAGCGCAGACCCCACACCCCGGGTTTCCAGGGCAACTGAGTGACCAGCACAGACCCTCACATCCTGGGCTTCCCGGGCACATGAGTGACCAGCGCAGACACTCACACCCTGGGTTCCCAGGAAGCTGAGTGACCAGCACAGACCCCCACATCCTGGGCTTCCCGGGCACATGAGTGACCAGCACAGACCCGATGCCAGGGGCTTACCAGCCAGGCTGCCAGAACCCACCATCTGCCATCAGCTGCACACACAAACCTTTTCCACTGGCAATATTTCAAGGCCTTCTTTTTCTTTCCTCAGCACGGAAACCATCAGGAAAATGTTCTGAGTCATGGGGTGATGACCTCAAAGTGTGTTTGTCTCGGTTTGCAGCCTGTTTGGGTGAGCACCAAGATAAACTGCAAATTGGCTAAAGCTGCTAATAAGCAGGCACCCTGCCGTCATCACTGTAAGGATGAGGTGTGTTCAGAATCCGCGGCCCCCGTGCCCCACACTCCTTCAGCAGGTCACCGACTGAACTAGCTCCATACACAGGTCCTGCGGCTTCTGGTGAGCGGCACTGCCCTGGATGCTGGTTTAGGGCACGCCCGGCATGTGCCAGGCAACCTTTTGAGGCCTGTCCACTAACAACCCTGGCAGTCAGGTGTGGTCTCACGGTCCCGTTTTGCAGATGAAGACACTGAGGCCCAGAAAGCACCACTTGTCCTCAGATCAGACACTTGGCAGGTGGCAGAGCCCATGTCAGACACAAACTCACCACCAGGCTGGCCCACTATAGCCAGGTCCCAGAGGAGGCTGCCCGCCCAGCACTGAAGCCCTCCCCTCACCAATTGCATGCTGGTGCTGGCCCTGCCCCTCCTGCAGCTCCAGCCCACTCTGACCATGCAGTGCATTCTAGACCTAATTGGAGTAGGGCCCAAGGCAACCCCACCGTCTGTAGTGTAGACATCTGAGGTCCTTGTTTTAATCCCCAGGAAGAGGTGCACTGAGGAGGAGGAGGAGTAACCTTCGTCATTTTATTTCCCGCTATTGCCAAGCGCGGCCTGGAGACAGTTGCCACGGGGGACGGGGAGGGCCGCCTGCCTGGTGCCCCTGCAGGAGGAGGTGGGCGCAGGCCTGTATTTTAAGCAACGGTGTAGTGGGGCTCCTTGTTACAGCAGCCTCCCTTCACCCTGACTAATAAATGGAACTGGAATTCAAAACAGGGAACTTGTTCATTAAACTCCTGTTAAGAAATTCAGTATAACAAACTCACGATTATCCTGAACCCAAAAGGCCCCAGGGCCTGAGTCATCAGATTTCTCTCCTGTGTGGAATCAAGGCTTGCTTTGATGGACGGCCGAGCGCTCACGAGAACCATTTGTGTCTTATTCCTGGGGCTGGAACATGGCAGTGTCCATGACCATGTTTGAGGCAGCCTTTTCTATTTGCACTAATTTCCTGTTGCTGAATAACAAATTTCCATGAGCACAGGCGCTGAGAGTAGCACCAACCCTCAGCTCAGTTTCCACAGGTCAGTGGCCTGGGCATGTTGCAACTTCACTTTCGGGTCTTAGCAGGCTGAATTCATGGCACCGGCCAGGGCTGTGAGACTTCTATGGGCTGAGGGCCACTTTTCAGCTCCCAATTGCTGGGGGAATTTTCTTCTGGAAGTTGCAGGACAGAGGTCTCTATGCTCCTTCCTACTCTTAGCTCCTGGAGGCCGCCTGCCTGCAGGTGGAGAAAATCGTTTTTAGAGGGTCCGTGTGATTAGGCCGGGTCCCCCAATTATCTCCCTACCGTAAGGTCAACTGCTTTGGGATCTTAACCCCATAACAAGCCCTCCCAGCCGCCCTGGAATCCTGGTGAACAGCTGGGAGGAAGTGTGTGCACACCAGGGCGGCAGTCATGGGCCATCTCAGAATTCCTCCAGCTGCTCCACTCAAGAAACACTTCCATTCACAAGTTAACACTCCACAGTGCCCCCCAGTAATGTTCTGAAGGAATTATCAACCCCCCCAGGAAAACAGACTCAAAAGAGATGTGGTGTACGAAGGCTGCCCCGCAAAGAGAAGGGTTCAGGGCTGGCAGAACCTCCCCCTGCCCCTCACTCCATGGCCACACTGATGTGGCTTCAGCTTAGGCCATTTTCTCTCTTCATTGATTCAATTATTCATCTATTCAATGATTATTTATTGAGCCCACGACATGCCAGGCACCGCTCCAGGGACTACGGGAACTGCAGTTTAAAAGACGTAAGTCCTCACTGTCATGGGGACCTCTGCGTGGGACACGGATGCCTGGATGAATGGGAGGCACTCACAGTGAAGCTAACGGGGCCCAGGGAAGGACCAAGCCTGAGGGAGTAGAAAGGGGTCAGGAGGTGCAGCGTCGCTAACCAGACAGAGGCCACTGATGCTTCAACATCCGCCCCCACCCGACGATCACAGCATGTCCGGAATACGGTGGCGCAGTCGGAGTTCACAGCTTGCCCGCTACGTGCCGGGCCTCAGGCTAAGGGCTTATTACATTACTTCTGTTCATCCTTTGAGATGCCTCCTACCTTTGTACCACATTACAGACTGGAAGAACAACTCAGAGCCTGAGCGCCTTGGGAAACCCACGTGGGGAGAGCTGCCACGACCACACGGGTTCAGCTTCAGACCTGACATCTCCTCCTGGCTCCTACCAGAGCCTGGAGTCATCAAAGATTCAAAGGTGCTGAGTAAAACCATGCCCTTGTTTTGGAACATGTCCACCCAGGGCTTCTATATAAAATGCTTATCGAGCCAGGATATGTATGTGACTAAAACCTTCTAGTCTGTGTTTCTACAATGCCTTAAGTGGATGAAGTAAGGCCCCTAACAAAGTGGCCCCAGAGCTGGGAACTACGGGTCCTGCACGGAGCTGGCTGCGGGGACCTCTGTGGCCAAGCATTGCAATGGGGCAGCGGCACAAAGGCCCTGGGGTGGGAGTGCGTTTGTGGTGTCCCGGCCGAAGAAAAGGCCAGTGTAGCTGTAGAAGGGGATGGGCAGCAAGGGCCACACCCTGAGGGCTTTGCAGGCCTCCTACTGGGTTGAATTTTACGCTATTTATTTATTTATAGAATCCGTGCCACCCCTCTTGCCTGGGAGATGAGGAACCCTGGGAAGCAGGCAAGCCAGGCCTACTGTTTGGATGGATGGCAGCAAGTGGCCTCAGGGCGACTGGGGAAGGCCCAGAGGACCCGGTCTTGGTGCCTTGGGACCTGGGCGTTTACCTCATTGTGTTGAAGCAACACTTAATACAGCCCCTGCAATATGTGAACCTCAGACCAGATGTTCCTTCCCCTGTTGGTGGGAGGCCCTACACCCTCACCTCCCCATCACCCCCATCATTACTGCCATTATCATCATCACTCCCATTATTACCACCATTCCCCATCATCACCCACCATCGCCTTCATCACTGTCACCCCCATCATCATCACCCCCATCATCATTGCCCACATCATCACTGTCACATCATCATCATCACCCCAACATCACTGTCTCCCCATCATCACCCCAACATCACTGTCACCCCATCATCATCATCACCCCAACATCACTGTCACCCCATCATCACCCCAATATCACTGTCACCCCCATCTTCATCACCTCCATCATTGCCCCATCATCGTCATCACCCCCAACATCACTGTTGCCCCCATCATCACCCCAATATCACTGTCTCCCCATCATCATCACCCCAACATCACTGTCACCCCATCATCACCCCAACATCAGTCACCCCATCATCATCATCACCCGATCATCATCATCACCCCAACGTCACTGTCACCTCCATCATCATCATCACCCCAACATCACTGTCACCCCATCATCATCATCACCCCAACATCACTGTCACCCCATCATCACCCCAACATCAGTCACCCCATCATCATCATCACCCGATCATCATCATCACCCCAACATCACTGTCACCTCCATCATCATCATCACCCCAACATCACTGTCACCCCATCATCATCATCACACCAACATCACTGTCACCCCATCATCATCATCACCCCAACATCACTGTCACCCCATCATCATCATCACCCCAACATCACTGTCACCCCATCATCATCACACCAACATCACTGTCACCCCATCATCATCATCACCCCAACATCACTGTCACCCCATCATCATCATCACCCCAACATCACTGTCACCCTCATCATCACCCCAACATCAGTCACCCCATCATCATCATCGCCCGATCATCATCATCACCCCAACATCACTGTCACCCCATCATCATCATCACCCCAACATCACTGTCACCCCATCATCATCGTCACCCCAACATCACTGTCACCCCATCATCACCGTCACCCCAACATCACTGTCACCCCATCATCACCGTCACCCCAACATCACTGTCACCCCCTCATCACCGTCACCCCAACATCACTGTCACCCCATCATCACCGTCACCCCAACATCATCGTCACCCCAACATCACCGTCAACCCATCATCATCGTCACCCCAACATCACCGTCACCCCATCATCATCGTCACCCCAACATCACCGTCACCTCCATCATCATCGTCACCCCAACATCACTGTCACCCCATCATCATCGTCACCCGATCATCATCATCACCCCAACATCACTGTCACCCCATCATCATCATCACCCCAACATCACTGTCACCTCCATCATCATCATCACCCCAACATCACTGTCACCTCCATCATCATCATCACCCCAACATCACTGTCACCCCATCATCATCATCACACCAACATCACTGTCACCCCATCATCATCATCACACCAACATCACTGTCACCCCATCATCATCATCACACCAACATCACTGTCACCCCATCATCATCATCACCCCAACATCACTGTCACCCCATCATCATCATCACCCCAACATCACTGTCACCCCATCACCATCATCACCCCAACATCACTGTCACCCCATCATCATCATCACCCGATCATCATCATCACCCCAACATCACTGTCACCCCATCATCATCATCACCCCAACATCACTGTCACCCCATCATCATCATCACCCCAACATCACTGTCACCCCATCATCATCATCACCCCAACATCACTGTCACCTCCATCATCATCATCACCCCAACATCACTGTCACCCCATCATCATCATCACCCGATCATCATCGTCACCCCAACATCACTGTCACCCCATCATCATCGTCACCCCAACATCAATGTCACCTCCATCATCATCGTCACCCCAACATCATTGTCACCTCCATCATCATCATCACACCAACATCACTGTCACCCCATCATCATCATCACCCCAACATCACTGTCACCCCATCATCATCATCACACCAACATCACTGTCACCCCATCATCATCATCACACCAACATCATTGTCACCTCCATCATCATCATCACACCAACATCACTGTCACCCCATCATCATCATCACACCAACATCACTGTCACCCCATCATCATCATCACACCAACATCACTGTCACCCCATCATCATCATCACACCAACATCACTGTCACCCCATCATCATCATCACACCAACATCACTGTTACCTCCATCATCATCATCACCCCAACATCACTGTCACCCCATCATCATCATCACCCCAACATCACTGTCACCCCATCATCATCATCACCCCAACGTCACTGTCACCCCATCATCATCATCACCCCAACATCACTGTCACCCCATCATCATCATCACCCCAACATCACTGTCACCTCCATCATCATCATCACCCCAACATCACTGTCACCCCATCATCATCGTCACCCGATCATCATCATCACCCCAACATCACTGTCACCCCATCATCATCATCACACCAACATCACTGTCACCCCATCATCATCATCACACCAACATCACTGTCACCTCCATCATCATCATCACACCAACATCACTGTCACCCCATCATCATCATCACACCAACATCACTGTCACCCCATCATCATCATCACACCAACATCACTGTCACCCCATCATCATCATCACACCAACATCACTGTCACCCCATCATCATCATCACCCCAACATCACTGTTACCTCCATCATCATCATCACCCCAACATCACTGTCACCCCATCATCATCATCACCCCAACATCACTGTCACCCCATCATCATCATCACCCCAACGTCACTGTCACCCCATCATCATCATCACCCCAACATCACTGTCACCCCATCATCATCGTCACCCGATCATCATCATCACACCAACATCACTGTCACCCCATCATCATCATCACCCCAACATCACTGTTACCTCCATCATCATCATCACCCCAACATCACTGTCACCCCATCATCATCATCACCCCAACGTCACTGTCACCCCATCATCATCATCACCCCAACGTCACTGTCACCCCATCATCATCATCACCCCAACGTCACTGTCACCCCATCATCATCATCACCCCAACGTCACTGTCACCCCATCATCATCATCACCCCAACGTCACTGTCACCCCATCATCATCATCACCCCAACGTCACTGTCACCCCATCATCATCATCACCCCAACGTCACTGTCACCCCATCATCATCATCACCCCAACGTCACTGTCACCCCATCATCATCATCACCCCAACATCACTGTCACCTCCATCATCATCATCACCCCAACATCACTGTCACCCCATCATCATCGTCACCCGATCATCATCATCACCCCAACATCACTGTTACCTCCATCATCATCATCACCCCAACATCACTGTCACCCCATCATCATCATCACCCCAACATCACTGTCACCCCATCATCATCATCACCCCAACATCACTGTCACCCCATCATCATCATCACCCCAACATCACTGTCACCCCATCATCATCATCACCCCAACATCACTGTCACCTCCATCATCATCATCACCCCAACATCACTGTCACCCCATCATCATCGTCACCCGATCATCATCACCCCAACATCACTGTCACCCCATCATCATCATCACCCCAACATCACTGTCACCCCATCATCATCATCACCCCAACATCACTGTCACCCCATCATCATCATCACCCCAACATCACTGTCACCCCATCATCATCATCACCCCAACATCACTGTCACCTCCATCATCATCATCACCCCAACATCACTGTCACCCCATCATCATCATCACCCGATCATCATCATCACCCCAACATCACTGTCACCCCATCATCATCATCACCCCAACATCACTGTCACCCCATCATCATCATCACCCCAACATCACTGTCACCCCATCATCATCATCACCCCAACATCACTGTCACCCCATCATCATCGTCACCCTTAGCCCCCTTGCTTCCGCAGCCACGTTGCAGCAGGTCTTGTGTATCCTCACCGGGTGATGGGCGAGCCCTAAGGCGCCTGTGATCAGGGAGCCGGGACAGAGGCAGATGCACAGCGGGGCAGCGTCTGGGCCACCAGGGTCCCTGGGGAGGGCACTCCGACCCCAGGCGGTGCCCAGGAGGGGCGCCCAGGCCCTGGTCCTTTGATCTGTAGGATTTCACCACCCGAGGCCCAGGGAAGCGGGGAGGGGCTGCAACCGTAATTCTTCAGAGGTCTTAGAGGTTGTTTGGGTCAAGATTGTCCCAGGACCCTGCCTGGCCACCCTGGGAGCCTGAAGGAAGGGCAGGACCCAAGAGTCTGCGTTTTCGCCAAACCCCCAGACGGGGAGGGGGTTCCATCCGCAAACTGAGCACCAAGTCCCCAGGGTCCATCTGCAAGTTGAGCAAGGCTTTAGGAAGGTGTCAGGACAGGAGAGTCAAAAAACGTGATCTTCCCTGAGGTCAGAAAAGTGTTCTCATGACCGGAAATAAAACGAAAACCCCCCTCTCAATTTGAAGTGAAATCCCTCTCTCTCTCAGCCTGCAGCCCGGGCCGTGGCTCACCCTGGGGCAGAGGCCGGACCTGAGCATTTCCAGGAGAGCGGACGCCCTCATCCCCCACTCATGGAGCAGCCTTTGAGATAACCCCAGCTTCCACGGAGCCTGTTTTCTTAGTGATAACTAGGAAAGAAAGCAGGTCAACGAGGCACTTCCCCCCATTGTTAGCCCTTCTATCGCTGCCTGAAAAACCGGCGCTGCCCTCCCCACAGGGCCTCAGCAGAGCGATGTGCAGCAGGAAACTTCAGCTTCCAGAAGGTGCCTCCAGCAGGTGAGCCCCGGGCTGGGGGCCAGGCCTAACAGATAGCCGGACTCCCGGGCCTGCTCAGGAGAGGGTCAGACCCATGCACAGACAGCATCACCGCCTTCCTCAGAGGAAGGAGAGGCTGGAGCGGATCCTCACGGCGGGGCGCTCAGCAGGGGGCGGGGCGGGGCGCTGCGTGGCGTCACCTGCCGGCGCCCCACGCTGGCCTGAGCTCCCTCGCCTGAAAATGAAAATGGCGGCCTCCTCCGCACTCCGCCTGGCAGGGCAGCTTCTTCTCCCTGAAGAAGCTCATTCCGTGTCTGGAGCTTGCTGCCAGCTGGAACGTTCCTGTGGTTTCTACCTCTAGATCTTGGCTCATCGATTGGGATCGTACAGAAACTAGAGTTCCTCTCCCACATGACAGACTCTGAAACACAGCAAATCCCCAGGATGTGGGCGACTGTCACGGATAAGCATTCACTGGGTATCGGCTCTGTGGGGGAGACTAGAAGTTTCAAGAATGAGTAAGAAACCCTCTCAGGGAAGGAGAGTATGTGGCTTCACACAGACTATGGATGGGTAGACAGAGAGATGACAATAATGATGACAGACGCACGGTAGATAAACAGACAAATGATAGATACATGGAACGATGACAGACAAGTCATGGAGATATGATAGATAATGATGATAGATGACACTGATGAAGGACAAATATAAAGTTGAAAGGGCTGCGGCAGGGCCTATGTGAGGTCCTATGATGACCCCTGGGAAGAGCACTCTGCTCAGTCCAGGAGCTCAAGGAAAACCTAATGGAGAAGATGAGACCTGAGCTAAGCACCTTGGCCTGGTCTCGAAACAAAAAACAATAACAACAAAACACCCTTGTTCTTACACGAAACAGAATTCTCAACAACCTGGCCCTCTTCCTATTCATTCATTCATTTCTGAGCTTAATACCCAGAACTCCTTACCACCTGCTGAGTGCTACGAGCCAGGTGTCTGTGCAGGGCCGAGGGCAAGACAGACCCCAATGGTGCCCACAGGTACTGCCCGTCTGCGGATGGCACAGGCAACCCAAGGCCACAGTGGGGCGCGATAACTCAGTGGTGAGGGGCAGCACAGGCCCAGGCATTCACAGGGAGCGACACACACCCAAAACCGGGGGCCAAACCGGGGTCCCTGGAGAAAGTGGTTTTTTAGCACAAACTAAATGATGAGAAGTCAGTGAGAAGGGTCATCCAGACCAAGATGAGGGGCCAGAAAAGGGCATGTGGAGTTGAGCAGATAAAGGAGGCTCAGCATGGCCAGAGTGCAGAGGCCAGGAAGCCCACCCAGGGTGAGCTGGACGGGCGGGAGGGAGACCATGGGAGCCAGTCAGGGGTCAGCTGGATGGACAGGAAGGAGAACCATGTGGGACCAGTAAGCATGGGCAGAGAGACCATGGGGACCAGTCAAAGGTGAGCTGGATGGGTGGGAGGGAGACCATGGGAACCAGTCAAGGGTCAGCTGGACGGATGGAAGGAGAACCACGGGGGACAAGTAAGCATGGACAGGGAGACCACAGGGACCAGTCAACGGTGAGCTGGACGGCTGAGAGGGAGGCCATTGCTGCAAATGGGCTGAATTTATCTTAACAACAATGGTTATCTGTGGAAGGGATCAAGTAAGGGAGTGACATGATCAGACTCTTGTTTGGGGGACTCACTGTTGCTACAGAGTAGAAAGTGCATGTCATTAGGACAGGCCTGAAGGGAGAGGAGACAGCTCCCACAATTATCCAGGCCAGAGAGGAGAGGGCCTGCAGGACGTGGAGAGGATCTGTGTCATGGAATTCGCAGGGTTCTGCTTGGATACGTTGAGTCACTGTGACCTGTAGACCCTTGAACGTGTCCTGGAGTCCTGTGTCGAGAACTGGCGAAGGAAACACATCGAGAGTCATGGACATGAGATGACCACGAGGTGGAGGGAAGCCCTGGAGGGAAACCCACAGGGAGAGGCAGGGAGGCCCTGGGCTGCCCAGGTGGGTGGAAAGGCTCAAGGAAGCCCACAGACTCCCCTTGCAGTGGAATGCCCCAGTGAGGGCCCAGCTGCAACGCCGCCTGGGAGAACAAGAGGACAGGGTGACGCAGGGAAGAAGCTGCCCACCAAGACCATGGGGCTCTCCCGATGGAGGCGTCCAGCCCCCACCCCCTTTGATGGTGGCATTCGAAGTCAGTGCTGCCAACAGAGACACCACGGAAGTGGGAAAGTGGAATGCGTGGAGGCCCGTTTGTGTGGCAGCATCATGGGTGTAGCCCCGAGGATGGCTCTAGGAGACCCACAGGCCAACACGATCCCTGCAGCGGCCCCTCTCCCCAGGCCACAGGGCCTCCGCATCTGAACACCTGTGTGGCTGGTTCCCCTCTCAGGGAAGGCTCTTTGAAATATCTGAGGTGGCCTCTGCCTTCTTGATGGTTACAGGGAGGGAGGAGGTTATTTGGAAGATGGTGACCACAATCTCAAGAGCCACAGAGGTCAAAAGCCTGGAAAGCAGCCATTGGGCTGGGCAACCAGAAGGTGTGGGTAGCGTCAGCCAGGGTAGGCCGGGGTGGGTGTGGGAGCCGGGCTGCTGCGTCCAGGACACAGCGGAACTGCGGTGGCTCTATCAAGAGATTGGTTTTGTTTCTGTGGAGGGAGAGAGATGGGGCTTCTCTCAGGAGCATGTCCCGCCAGCCCTGGCCTCTCTGAGCGCCGCCTCTCTTGGGCTGCTGCCCCCTTTCAGTGCCAGGGGCAGGGCTGAGTCCAGCCCCAGGCACAAGTCATTGGCCTAGTCAGGGCAGGGCATGAGCTGTGTTGGTGCCAGCCATAGAGCCAGGATCTGTTTCCTCTGAGAAGCAGAAACCGAACCCCATGGCCTAGGCTCCTGGTGGCTCAGGTGCGGTGACCCCAGAAGCTGACATTTCAGTGGGCGAGATCTGTGCCCTGGGTCACCCAAGCTTCTGCACGTGGCCAGGACCTCCTGGGCCTCCTCTGTGCCCATCAGTTCCCACCCTCTATGGGGGCTCCTTGGTGAATTTTCAGGCAAAATCAACCCTTCGGTTCTGAGCTCCACTAGCCACTTGCCAAGGGGCCCAGGGGACAGCACCCTTCTCCATCCCCTCTCCTCCACACGCGTTTCTGTAAGAGGCCCTGGGCTGGGGCTGGTGTTGCAGGAGTGTGAGTGTCTCTGACAGGACTCAGAGTCACCTCATGTCTCCGCATGACAGAGGAGCCAGGCTGGTTTCAGAGGTGAACAATCATTGGATTAGTGCAGCCCCATTTCAAAAGTGTTCATTTAGCTGATTTCCATAACCCGAAAAGACTTTTCAACTCATGACAACCTCGGAACATGGCCTTCGTTCGTCCCCTGGCCCTGCCAGCGAGAGGGGAAAGTGTGTGGTGAGCAAAGTTGAAATGACCAGCAGAGATGAAATGTACCATCCTGCTGATCATCCCTACCCTGGGTTTCTCCGCAATTGGTTTTTTTGTTTGTTTTTAATTTAGTCACCCGCCTCTGGGCTGTGGAGAGGCCTGTCCACCCTGCATGGCTAATGTTATGCACCCACTTGGCTGGGCCACAGTGCCAGTGTTTGGCCAGACAGGTTGCTGTGAAGGTGTTTTTAGATTAGATCAGTATTTAAATCAGTTGATTTTGAGTAAAGCAGATGACCCTCCGAAGTATGGGTGGGCCTTGTCCAATCAGGTGAAGGACTACAAGAAAAGACTGAGGTTCCTAGAGGAAGAAGGACTTCGGCCTTCAGAGACCTTTAGACTCCAGCTGCAGTGTTGCCTCTTCCTGGGTCTCCAGCCTGCCGGGCCGCCCTGTAGAATTCAAACATGCCAGCCCTGACAATCACAGGAGACACTTCCTTAAAATGTTTCTTTCTTTTTCTCTCTCTCTCTGCCTCTCTCTCTTTCTCTTTCTCTCACACATACACACATACACCCTGTTGGTTCTGTTTTTCTGGAGAGCCCTAATTTGATTCTCTTCAAGCCTTTTTTTTTTCTCTAAGCCACCTGTTCTCAACCCTTCGAGCCTCCATCATGAGAAAGGGTTGCATTTCCTCATTCTGTCTTCTGAGCATGCTCCTGTGGTCCAGGCATCATCATCCTGTATCTTTTATTTATGATTGTGTCTTGGGACCTACGACATTGCCCAGCACATAGCAGATGATCAGAAACCATGGTTTGAATACCCTGAATTAATGCAGAAGTGAGTTAGCAGGCATCTCTGTGCCGGCAGTATTTTAGGTGTGGGGGACCCTTTGGTGAACGAGGACAACACAGTCCCATCCCCAAGAAACTGACGATGTCCTTGAACACAGCAGGCCCCAACCTTTTTGGCTCCAGGGACTGGTTTCTTGGAAGACGATTTTTCATGCACGGTGGGCGGGGGAAATGATTTCGGGATGAAACTGCTACCTCAGATCATCAGACTTTGATTCCCATAAGGAGCCCGCAGCCTAAATCCCTGGCATGTGCCATGCACAGTAGGGTTCACACTCCTCTGAGAATCGAATGCTGCCTCTGATCTAACAGGAGTAGGGGCTCAGGTGGGAACGCTCGCTCGCCCACCACTCACCTCCTGCTGCGCAGCCCGGACCCTAACAGGCCATGGATGGTACCAGCCTGTCCCGGGAGCTGGGGGTCCCTGTTCTAACACATATCAGCCAAAGCTGAGCACAGCACTCCAGGTTTCGCCTGAGTGAAGCGTGGAGTGGCCGGTCACTACCTTTCTTCAGGATTCTGTGCATTTACTGATGTGACCCAAGCTTTAAGAGGGATGCAGGGTCCCGGAACCGCATGCAAGATTGGAAGGTGGACCCGGCTGCCTTTCCGAAGGCACCTCCCAGGGGCGTTCTCGTCCACTCCACACAGTTTCATTACAGGGCATAAAACGGCACCACAGCATGAATCCCCAAAGCAGTGGAGATGAAAGGAGCTCATTGAAACAACTTCTGTATCTTTTCCTACCAAAATACAGGCTTATGACACAATAAAAAAATAAAATTAGGAGCTTCAGATCCCATGAGACATTGTTCCACCCCATTTCCCACAAAGCCATAGATGCTGCTGGTGGCCACTAGACACAGAGCAGGGCCAACGCTGGCCAAGGGATGCAGGGATGTGGCTAGGGGTCCCCACACTGCCCTGCAGGGTCAGGAGACCTGAACGTCTTCCGTCCAGGATCCATATACAGAAGAGAGCATTTGCAAATGCATGTGGTGTGGAGAGAGATCCCCAAGCTGCTCAGAACCATCCTAATTCTCTTCCTCCATGGAAACTAAGTCCAGGGCATGGAGGCCTCCATGCCACAGAAGGTGGCCCTGTCAGAACCGGCAGTCTCACCTGGCCGTCAGATGGCTCGTTCCTGTAAACTCAGTGCCCTCCAGACCAAGGCCCCTTTCTGTGAGTCTGAAACTACGTGGATACAGCACTCAGCTTCCCAGACACGGTGAGGAGCCCAGCCCTGGGCCACAGATAGACAGCACCCACAACAGGAGGGGCCCAGCAGGTCAGGAAGGAGGCATTTCCGGCCAAGGATACAATCCATGCATGGCTCCAGCCTCCACGAAGCCATCTTGAGGCTTCTGAGTTGCTGTTTAAAAGGATGGGGAATGATGTTCAGAATTAAAGGGTGGAAAGAGCCCAGCAGACATGGAGGGGTAATCCCTTCCCTGAAGAAAGAGGAAATGAGCCGTAGGGAGCTGAGAGTGTGCATCCCAGGCCACACAAGCAACGTAAACAAAGAAGCCAAGTCCCTCAGAAGGACACTGAGCCACTGATTCCCCAAAAAACAAAGGCACTAAAAGAGAGTGGAAGCTGCAAGCAACCCAGGCCACAGGCAGGAGCTCAGGAAAGTTCCTAATTAAAGAAACTGGTAACTAGGAGTAAAATATGCAAGATTATACCAAAAGAATTGCACACCCTCACAAAGGAGCTCATGGTGAAAGAGACCCTCTCTGTGGGGCTCACAGTGAGGGAGACCCTGTCCACGAGGCTCACAGTGATGGAGACCCTGTCCACAAGGCTCACAGTGATGAAGACCTTCTCCACGAGGCTCACAGCGATGGAGACCCTATCCACGAGGCTCGCAGTGATGGAGACCCTGTCCACGAGGCTCGCAGTGATGGAGACCCTGTCCACGAGGCTCACAGTGATGGAGACCCTGTCCACGAGGCTCACAGTGATGGAGACCCTCTCCAGGAGGCTCACAGTGATGGAGACCTTCTCCACAAGGCTCACAGTGATGGAGACCCTCTCCAGGAGGCTCACAGTGATGAAGACCTTCTCCACGAGGCTCACAGTGATGGAGACCCTGTCCACGAGGCTCACAGTCATGGAGACCCTCTCCAGGAGGCTCACAGTGATGAAGACCTTCTCCACGAGGCTCACAGTGATGGAGACCCTGTCCACGAGGCTCACAGTGATGGAGACCCTCTCCACGAGGCTCACAGTGATGAAGACCTTCTCCACGAGGCTCACAGTGATGGAGACCCTGTCCACAAGGCTCACAGTGATGGAGATCCTCTCCAGGAGGATCACAGTGAGAGAGACCTTCTCCACGAGGCTCACAGTGATGGAGAACCTGTCTAAAAGGCTGACAGTGATGGAGACCTTCTCCACGACGCTCACAGTGATGGAGAACCTGTCTACAAGGCTGACAGTGATGGAGACCCTCTCCACCAGGCTCACAGTGATGGAGACCCTGTCTACAAGGCTCATAGTGATGGAGACCCTCTCCAGGAGGATCATAGTGAGGGAGACCTTCTCCACGAGGCTCACAGTGATGGAGAACCTGTCTACGAGGCTGACAGTGATGGAGACCCTCTCCACGAGGCTCACAGTGATGGAGACCCTGTCCACGAGGCTCACAGTGATGGAGATCCTCTCCACGAGGTTCACAGTGATGGAGACACTCTCCAGGAGGCTCACAGTGATGGAGACCTTCTCCACGAGGCTCACAGTGATGGAGACCCTTTCCAGGAGGCTCACAGTGATGGAGACCTTCTCCACGAGTCTCAAAGTGATGGAGACCCTCTCCACGAGGCTCACAGTGATGGAGACCCTGTCCACGAGGCTCACAGTGATGGAGTCCCTGTCCACAAGGCTCACAGTGATGGAGAGCCTGTCCACAAGGCTCACAGTGATGGAGACCTTCTCCACAAGGCTCACGGTGATGGAGACCCTGTCCACAATGCTCACGGTGATGGAGACCTTCTCCACAAGGCTCACGGTGATGGAGACCCTGTCCACGAGGTTCGCAGTGATGGGAAACCTCTCCAGGAGGATCACAGTGATGAAGTCCTTCTCTATGAGGCTCGCAGTGATGGAGACCTTCTCCACAAGGCTCACGGTGATGGAGACCCTGTCCACGAGGCTCACAGTGATGGAAATCCTCTCCACGAGGCTCACAGTGATGGAGACCTTCTCCATGAGGCTCACAGTGATGGAGACCTTCTCCATGAGGCTCACAGTGATGAAAACCTTTTAAATGAGGTTCACAGTGATGGAGACCCTGTCCACAAGGCTCACAGTGATGGAGATCCTCTCCACGAGGCTCACAGCGATGGAGACCCTGTCCACGAGGCTCACAGTGATGGAGATCCTCTCCACGAGGCTCACAGTGATGGAAACCTTCTCCATGAGGCTCACAGTGATGAAGACCTTCTCCATGAGGTTCACAGTGATGGAGACCCTGTTCTCGAGGCTCACGGTGATGGAGACCCTGTCCACGAGGCTCACGGTGATGGAGACCCTGTCCATGAGGCTCACGGTGATGGAGACCCTCTCCACGAGGCTCACAGTGATGGAGACCCTCTCCAGGAGATTCACAGTGATGGAGACCTTCTCCAGGGGGCTCACAGTGATGGAGACCCTCTCCATGAGGCTCACATTGATGGAGACCCTCTCCAGGAGGCTCACAGTGATGGAGACCTTCTCCAGGAGGCTCACAGTGATCGACACCCTCTCCACGAGGCTCACAGTGATGAAGACCCTGTCCATGAGTCTCACAATGATGGTGACCCTGTCCACGAGGCTCACAGTGATGGAAACCTTCTCCATGAGGCTCACAGTGATGAAGACCTTCTCCATGAGTTTCACAGTGATGGAGACCCTGTTCACGAGGCTCACGGTGATGGAGACCCTGTCCACGAGGCTCACGGTGATGGAGACCCTGTCCATGAGGCTCACGGTGATGGAGACCCTCTCCACGAGGCTCACAGTGATGGAGACCCTCTCCAGGAGATTCACAGTGATGGAGACCTTCTCCAGGGGGCTCACAGTGATGGAGACCCTCTCCACGAGGCTCACAGTGATGGAGACCCTCTCCAGGAGATTCACAGTGATGGAGACCTTCTCCAGGGGGCTCACAGTGATGGAGACCCTCTCCAGGAGGCTCACAGTGATGGAGACCTTCTCCAGGGGGCTCACAGTGATGGAGACCCTCTCCACGAGGCTCACAGTGATGGAGACCCTCTCCAGGAGATTCACAGTGATGGAGACCTTCTCCAGGGGGCTCACAGTGATGGAGACCCTCTCCACGAGGCTCACAGTGATGGAGACCCTCTCCAGGAGATTCACAGTGATGGAGACCTTCTCCAGGGGGCTCACAGTGATGGAGACCCTCTCCACGAGGCTCACAGTGATGGAGACCCTCTCCAGGAGATTCACAGTGATGGAGACCTTCTCCAGGGGGCTCACAGTGATGGAGACCCTCTCCAGGAGGCTCACAGTGATGGAGACCTTCTCCAGGAGGCTCACAGTGATCGACACCCTCTCCACGAGGCTCACAGTGATGAAGACCCTGTCCATGAGTCTCACAATGATGGTGACCCTGTCCACAAGGCTCACAGTGATGGAGACCCACACTTTGATGTTCACAGTAAGAGACCCTCTCCACGAGACTCACAGTAAGAAAAACCCTTACCATGTCCCTCCTTTCATGACATTGCTCCATTTTTGTCCTCCATGCCCACCCTCCTTGTCCTTCATCTTTATCCCTAATCCACGTCCTCATCCAGTCCCTCCTCTAGGTTCCTCCTTCACATCCTCCCTTCCTCGTCCTCCCCTGCCCATCTCCTTCCTCCACGTCCTCCCCCGCACGTCTCCCCCTTGCATGGTCATCACTGGAGGTCACCCTTTCCAGATTTGCTCCTCCGTGCCCCAGGCTCACTAAAGCTTTGCACAGGAAGAATTTCTCTTATGGACCTTTTTGGGGAAGGGACAAGAGAAAGCAAAAAGAAGGGACTCTTCAACCCTAGGCATCCCCTGCAAACTTCTCTTCTGATCCCCTTTCTTCCATCAACATTTTGGAATTCTTACTGAGCTGCAGAGCAGGAATGATGTTCTCTCCTTCTTAGTCCTAAGAGATGAGCACATTTATTTCCCATGAATCCCAGGAATGTTGTGTGTGGTGTGCACCCCAGTCTTTCAGAAGGTGAATTCTGGACGGAGGACCTGGAAGAGGAAGGGACTCTGGAGGGTCTGACACAGGGCAGGGACGCCTAGACCCGGCCAGGTGTGAGCTCTCTGTCCAGGGCCTCAGTGACAACTGGCGTCAGGAATAAAAAGGACAATGTTCAGGGAAGGCCCTAGGAATGTGAACAGGACCCCCGATGGGCTGGCAGCACACTGGACAGGCCAGCAGGACATCAATGGGCCACGGGCCACTGTAACTCTGACTCTGGAAATGAGAAGTAGCCGAGAGGCCTGGGCATCAGCACTCAGCTCCCTCCTTCCCCTCCGCCCACCCCCCAACGCCCTCCTCCACCACACACCCTGGAAGCTGTGACCAGCAGGCCCAGCTGAGGTGGCCACTGAGGGTCGCTGGCCCGGCATACCCGACAGATGCTTTAATCTTCTGTTTGAAGAATGGCTTCTGCTCAGCTCCGCTCTTCAAACATCTGTTTCTCTTTAGAAAGATGGAGGCATTTCCAGTGGCGCTGCCTGTGCCATGCTGGGGACTGTTTAAACGGCACCCACGTTGTTTACATTGTCCTTTACAGCCAGAGAGGATTTACAGCAGGCGGCTGGACATGCGTCTAAGCTCTGTAAAACAGATCACTCACTTTGAAAAATGAACAGCTTAGCTTCCTAAACACATCCTTTTTGAAAGGAGGTATTTACTTTATTAACCCATAAAAAAAATCTAAGGAGGACGAAGCTCCTGGAGCTGTTCAGGTTTCAGCACCTTAAAACCACCGAAAAGGAGCAGATTTCTGGCTTTATCACTTGGCCTTGACACCTCCCTGGATGCGCTGCTGCTTGGCTGGCTGGTGGCAGCAGCCCAGGATTCCTGTGCTCTAAACAACACACAAACACTCCACAGCAGAAGGCATCTGCATCCAGTGTCCTGGAAGATGGAGTAGTGGTAAAGACCTTTGAGAATCTTAAAGCAAGATGACAATCTGAGCTGCATCTGAGAAATGAACTCGTCCAGGAAGGACTGAGGGCAAACGGCAGGTGTGGCCAGGTTGTGATGTTTCCACCTTCAGGACAAAGCGACTCCTCCCTGCACCCCACACAGCATCTGAAAATCTCTTTGTTTATTGGGTTCATACATTTACTAAAATAAATGTTTCATTTGTCTTCATCTCCCCAAAGTGTGACACCTCCTGGGTGTGTGATAAGCGTTTGTTGAAATAATTCCTCATGACTTACCACACTCAGGTGAAATGGGAAAACCAGGAGGTGCTTACAGGTTATAAATAATCAGAGGTTATCAGGAAATGGGCTCCTTTGTTCTACATCCGTAAAACTAGACATTTAACCATGGTGAAAAGAAAAAGAAGTTTTCTTCTGCTGAGCGCATTCTGCCTATCCCCATAAAGACTTGAATGGCACTGACGATGCCTTGGGCCAGCGTTGAACACATACGCTCTTACAGAATCCCCCAAATCCTCTGTGTGGTGAGGTTACCTTCATCCTACAAGGGCTCAGAGCAGTGAAGGTGATGGCGTAAGGTCCCACGGCCAATCACAGACAGAGTAGAGATTTGAGTTCCCAGCCCATGCCTTGGGCCAGCATTGAACACACACTCTCTTACAGAATCCCCCAAATCCTCTGTGTGGTGAGGTTACCTTCATCCTACAAGGCTCAGAGCAGTGAAGGTGACGGTGTAAGGTCCCACGGCCAATCACAGGCAGAGTAGAGATTTGAGTTCCCAGCCCATGCCTTGGGCCAGCGTTGAACACACACGCTCTTACAGAATCCCCCAAATCCTCTGTGTGGTGAGGTTACCTTCATCCTACAAGGGCTCAGAGCAGTGAAGGTGACGGCCTAAGGTCCCACGGCCAATCACAGACAGAGTAGAGATTTGAGTTCCCAGCCCGTGGCTGGTACCCACTGCACCCAGGTGCCTCTCACAGAGACCCCACCTCGTCTACCCTTCATCACCCTGGGAGGAGGACAAAAGCTGAGCCTCAGAGACATGAAAGATGTTATTTCCCAAGACCATACAACTGGCAATTGGAGGACACAGGACTCTACACATTGTCTTGATAAAAAAGTCTCACTTCACTTCTAATCAAACTCACCAGACTTAAAATATGTAATACAAATTTCTTTCTTTTTTTATTCTTTGTTTTTTTTGAGACCACAGAGTTTCACTCTATCGCCCAGGCTGGAGGGCAGTGGTGTGATCTCAGCTCACTGCAACCTCCGCCCCCCAGGTTCAAATGATTCTCCTGCCTCAGCCTCCCAAGTAGCTGGGGTTATAGGCATGCACCACCATGGCTGGCTAATTTTTGTATTTTTAGTAGAGACGGGGGTTTGCCATGTTGGCCAGGCTAGTCTTGAACTCCTGACCTCAAGTGATCCACCCACCTCAGCCTCCCAAAGTGCTAGGATTACAGGTGTGAGCCACTGCACCTGGCTTAGAAATTTCTACATCTGGAAATATAGTTCGGTTAAATTTTTTTTGGTTCTGAGAAGTAGCCCTCCTTTTCTTTTAAATTAGCCTTTCCCTTAAATTAGTAGATAATGGATCTTAACCATTCTACCAAATAAGCTCCATTTTTCCACTAATCAATACAGAAGGGCACAGAGGCAGGGGCACGGAGGTCTCAGATCTTTAAGGCCTTTGGTTGGTGACAAAGTAGGAATGCAGGACTCTGGGATTCTTAGGTCATGCTCCCAGGCAGCTGCCATTGTAGACAAGGGGCCCGGAATCCAAGTGTGCATCAGAGAGCCATGTGCGGAAAGAAACGAAGTCGGGAAGCGCCTGGCTGCAAGCACAGGTGGCCTCGCCCTTGGGAACCAGGTGGAGACACTCAGATGCTAGAATATTACTATCCTTTCTTCACTCTCTCCTCTGCCCTCCTATTCAGCCGGAGGAAGGAAAACCTAAATGCAAAGATCTACCTTGGCGAAGATCTGCTCAGTGTGAGTCACAGCCCTACGTGCCCAGCTTATGCAGAACATGTTTTCTTTAATTACATACGTGGTGAACACCACTGACTCTGGTATGTTCAAACACGTCTTGTGCCCACACCGCTCTCTAAGCAGTGCCAACTGACTCCAAACAGAAAACCCGGTGTTTCCCTCATAGAGCTCTGAATTCAGGGCCACTATGCCCTGCTTTCATGGAACTAGAATTGGACACTCTTCTGTAAACACATTCTATCCAATTGTCCTGAAAACGAGAGCACCTCTTCCCCAAAAGTCAGAAATAAAAGTGCATTCCTTCTTTTCAATGAAACAAAAGTCTGTTTCACAAAAAAAGGGCTGAAAATAAAGGCATATGGCCTTTGACATATGGCCAGATGACAGGAAGAAGTTTTCCAGTAAGATTCAGCGGGGAAGGGAGGCAAGATGCCTTGGTTCACATCTTGGTTTACATCTCTCCAGTACCTAGGTGTGTGCATCTGAGCCTCCATTTGTGCTCCTGCTCTGGGCCACACTTAGAGCAGTCTTGACATTAGAATTAATTTACTCAAAGCTTCATTTTGTCTCCTCGGACCATTCAGCTAAGAGTCCAAGGAGAGACGATCTTTTAGCTGTCCCCACGTGGGTCCTTCCTGACCTCAGCCAGGGAATGCAGGCCCCTTGGTCAACAGTACCACCAAGAGGTAACGAGGGCCATGCCACTCTTTCTAAAGGAGGGGGCAGAGGCGGCTGGCAACAAATGCTCTCAGCAGTTGTGACAGAGAAGGCGCTGCCCAGAAGCAGACAGGACTCAGGCAATGCCTCCCACTGCGTTTCAAGCTTTGCAGGAAATTGCGAGTCTTGGAAGACCTGCGACTGAGTGTAGGGTGAGCCTAGCAAAACTCTCTGGGACCACCAGGAGGAAGCACTTGGTCCCTGGAACAGAGGGCAGAGACCCCCAACAGTGCAGTAGGTGCTCCTGTGCACCTCCATCATGGTGGCCCGCCGCCCACCGGTGGACATGTGCATGTACACCGTGCACACCCCCAAAGCAGGCCGCGTTTGCCTGCAGAATCATCTGTTCCAATTGGGCTTATTATTGTCATTGCCTTATGTATCTAGATAAGCCTCATTGTGAGAAAATATGCATGTGAAAACAGAGGCATTATGTCCATGTAATCTAAGCTGAATGCTTTGAAAAGATACCATAAAGGAAATTCACTAAACGTGTACACTGATTTAAGTGTGGATGAGACAGCTGTAAATAAATGGAAAATTCAAAAATCATTAAAATCAAGTGAGATTCTGCTTGAGTCATTTACATGTGTCAGCAAGGTTTTGCTACATCTAATTCCTTGGTTGACCTGGTCATTTCCAAATGGATTCATCTGGCCTTAATGGCTGAGGTAAATAGATGGTGAGGTGGTGAAATGGTTGAACAGTAGGAAAGATAGATGACTGGATTCAGTAATGAGCTAGTAAATTTTCAACAACCTGCTCTTTGAAAAGAATAGAGCCCTGACTTGTAGTATTTGCCAATTTCCATGGTGAAAATGATCCCATCATGGCCAATTTCAAGCCACCAACCTGAAGCCTCTGAACTTCTCTAGAGGGACTGGAGTTGGGAAGACATGTATACAGCCTGCCTGGAGAGCAGGGGCCGTGGATGTGGCACCCACAGCCAGATGAAGGGTGGGGTATGGACATGAGTTCTGGAGCAGCGTCACTTCAGGGCTGCACTGAAGGACCTCAGGTGATGACTGAAGGGCTCCAGCCCCTGGCAGCAGGACCACATCAGGTCTCCCCTGCATGCTGCGTCGCCTGGCTGGACCACATCAGGTCTCCCTTGCATGCTGCCTCTCCTGGCTGGCCACGCAGTCTTTTCCCTCCCAGCAGAACATCAATATGGCTCCTTTCCCAAAGTTCTCATGCTCAAGGAGCATGATCAGAGAGGGGCCAGCTGTCACATGGACAATGCTGAACTAGACTCATCCACATGTACGTATGTCCTCCTGCCTCTCAGTTATTGATGAAGACATTCTATCATGGTCAATCCACTTTCCTCTGTAACCCATTGTGTAACAGATGTGTCTGAGCCTTACTTTGAACATTAACAAAGACAACTTAAGGACCCTGTTTTTCAGAGTCTAAGAGCCTAAAAATGACATGTAGCATATATAAGATCACTTAGTAAGTTGGACTTGAGACTAGGAAGGTGGTGTGGTTTCAATGTGTCCCTCAAAGTTCATGTGTTTGGAAATTTAATTCCCAGTGCAACAGTGTTGGAAGGTAGGGCTCAAGGGAGGTGTTTAGGCCATGAGAGCTCTGTCTTCATGAAGGGATTAATGTCATTATTGTGGGAGTAGGTTTGTTATAAAAGCAAGTTCAACCCTCCCTGCCCTCTCTCACTGTTGCCCTCTTTTGCCCTTCTGCTTTCCACCATGGGATGACACAGCACAAAGGCCCTCACCAGATGCTGGTACCATGCTGTTGGACTTCCCAGCCTCCATAACCATGAGTCAATATAAATTACTCAGTGCAGGTATTCTGCTACTGCAGCATAAATGGACCAAGACAGAACATTTTTGGTTTTTATCCACTTGGGTGGTTGGGGGTTATTCTTATGGGGGTTATTCTTTATTCCCAGAGATAAATGACATTAAAATAAACATGTACCTCAGAAATGGACAAACATTTTCTGGGAAGAAGCACCATTTACTTTCTTTTTATTTTTGAACATACTGGAATCTGAAATAGAAATGGTACTGAGGGACACAGTGGTGGCCCAAGGTGGGAGCAGAGCAGAGAGAGGAAGGGCAAGGAACACCACATTCTCTGCCGCAATCTCCTTCCTGTGAGGAACCCTGAGATAGTTTATACTGTGTCAACTTGATTGGATTGAAGGATACAAAGTATCAATCCTGGGTGTGTCTGTGAGGGTGTTAAAAAAGGAGATTCACATTTGAGTGAGTGGGCTGGGAAAGACAGACCTACCCTTAATCTGGGTGGGCACAATCTAATCAACTGCCAGTGAGGTTAGACTATAAAGCAGGCAGGCAGAAAAATGTGAAAAGAGAGGCTGGCCTAGCCTCCCAGCCACATCCTTCTCCCGTGCTGGACGCTTCCTGCCCTTGAACAGCGAACTCCAAGTTCTTCAGTTTTGGAACTCAGACTGGCTCTCCTTTCTCTTCAGCCTGCAGATGGCCTATGGTGGGACCTTATGATTGTGTGAGTTAATACTTAATAAACTCCCCCTTACATGTGTGCGTGTGTATACACACATGTGACATATATATATTCCATTACTACTGTCCCTCTAGAGAACCCTGACTAATACAAACCCTGAACGTCACTCACTGGCACATGGGAAGTGGCCAAGGCTGAGGACACAGCAGCTTACCCAGGTGCTTCAGGGTCTCCCGGCAACATGGCCCACCAGATGAGTGCCCTCCTGTGTGGACAGCGGGACACACCCATCACACCCACCAGGCTGAGCTAACTCCCTCTCTAGCCACACAGAGAGGCCCCAGGTTCCCAAAGTCCATGCATCTTCAGCCTCTGAGATTAACAGTGCCACGGGTTGATCTCCTAGCTTATCGCAGTAGCCATTTGCAACAGCACAGTGTATACAGAAGTGTTGATCTTGAGATTTTTGCCTTCAGATTTTACTGTACTGTAATCAATAACTTGTTGTGTATAATTAAGACAAATACATAATGGCCTTGTGTTTATGAAGTCAATATATAGCTTGTAGGAAATTCCTTGGTATTGTTTGTATGCTGTATAAATATTTTAAGATTCTGCCAGTAACAGGAGTTTCTGTGTATATTATACAGAGTTCTCTTTTATCCGGTTTGAAGAAGTAGTATGAAGGAGCGGATGCAAATTGTCCAAACAAACATTTGTTTCTCCCTCCAGCTGGGCAGATTGTTATGACTGCCTTCTGGGGGACCCTGGTGGTCCCAGCATTCATTCACAGGTAACGTACTACTGGGTTGAAATTGAGTTGGAGTGGGTGGGTGAGTGTGAAGTGGTGCTGTGTGGTATTGTGTGTTGCTGTGGTGCTATGTGGTGTGGCGTGGTGTGGTGTGGTCTTGTGAGATGAGGTGTGGTATTTTAAGATGAAAGATGTGGTATTGTGAGGTGAGGTGTGGTGTGGTGAGATGTGGCATTGTGAGATGAGGTGTGTGTTATGTGGTAAGGTTTGGTGTTGTGCAGAGTGACTGTGGAGCAGCTGCGTGAAAGTAAAAGGCCAGGCTGGCACCATGGAAAGATCCGAAGTCCGGGTGGACACACGGCACACTGAACAGGGACGCCAGGGGTCGCAGGGACCAAAGGGCTGCTACTGGTGACCAAACCCCCCGAACCTGCCTGAGAGCCAGCCTTTGCCTGCAGGGAGGCCAGTCACAACTTCAGTTCTCTGAGAGATCTCGTCCTTATCCCCTCATAACCCAGAGGACACTGAAGTCTCACCTCAGCAACTCACAGTCTTCGACTTATCTGGAAAAAGAAGGTGGGCAGAGGTGATGACTGGCCTGGGTGTGAGCCTCTCATGCCAGGGGGACTTCAGCAAGACCCAAGACAGGAAAATCCTCCTCTCTCCTGGATGTGGCCAGATGCACAGTGGAAGCCAAGCCTCCCCCTGCCTTCCTCCATCTGCAAAGATTTATAGAGCACCTGCTGGGTGCCAGGCGCTGGGCTCAGGCTGGACACAGGCAACCTCAATACAGCTGAAAGCCTTAGATGCTTTCCTAGGACTGGCCACACACATCAGAGAGAACCAGGGTGGGGAAGGTGCCTTTGTGGAAAGGTGGGATTTGACTGCACAGATGAAATGGTTGGAGGGAGACCTCACTGCTTCTGCCCAGAATGGAGAGTGTATGAAAGTCCACAGAAAATCAACTCTGATCCAAATGGAATCACAGCAGTGGAAACATTCACTAAGGAGGAGGGAGAGGAGTTTCCACCCTCTGCTTTCTTGCCAGCAGCTACCATAAAATAAAAGGCTTCATTAGAAGACACAGTGTGGGCAACACTGTACACAGCTCCTCCTGGCTCAGGAGCCCGGGAAGCACGGTGGATCAGATGAATGCTTCCAATGTTGTCTGCCCGCAAGGTGTCCACAGGCATGGAGGATGGAAGGGCAGCTACTGGTAAACCTGATTATGTGGACAGTTAATTGGCCTTTATGCTACTGTGGTAATTAACCTCTTTTTCTCTAAACAAATGTGAAAAGAAACAAGTTATCAAACACATTATTTGTTTCTAGGTCTTTCAGGGTCCATACCTCAAACGTGCACCACTCCCAGGTGGGACCAGCAGCCGGATGAATAAAGGGCCCTTGAGGCCTTGGTGGGATAAGTGACCTCCAAAGCCTGATAGCTCTACTCAGACCTTGTAGCACGAGCCTTTGAGGGACCTTAGAGGGGATGTGGCCATGGCTGGGAAGAAATCCCAGCCATTTTTAAAGTCCTCCCTGAACCCTGACACTTACCCAAAGTCTGAGGTCCGGACCGGAACGGACTGTTCTCCCTTTAGTCCTAACCTCTGTGAGTGCAGGAACTCCAGCACTCTCACGGGCCACCGCCCTCCCGTTGTCCAGCATGGTGCCCAGCCATCACAGGTGACCAGGAAGATGTGTCAGGCACTGTTCTGCGCCCATATAGCAGGAACAGGCAGAACTCCTGCCCCCGTGAGCTTAAATTCTAGTAGAACACAGCGACAGGTGGACTGCCCTCATCTGAGCTTGGTCTCTGCATCAGACTTCAGCACCTCCCCGAGCCCTGTGTTCTAAAACGCCGTTTCATTAAGTCTGCTTCCTTTCATTGTCATTTCTCAAGCTCTGAACGTCAAGACCATTTCAAAAGTTTCTCTCTCACCACTAAATAATTGTTTGTGTTCTACCAGAAAAGCCCATATATGTTATCTTCTGGAATGGATTCCTTCATTAAGGGCTTCTAAATACACAGCGTGAGAGCCCTGCATATGTGAAACAATGACCATTTCCAACTGCAGAAAGAAGACAGAAACGGGGTTGGGACCCTGGAGAAGCTGAGAGGAAGCTGTGGAGGAGAGATCGAGGCATGTGCAGGCAGCAGCGGGGGATGCAGGGCTCACCAGAGCTCAATGGCATGGGGGTCGGGGCATGGACTCTGGCCCCAGACAGGCTGGAAAGGTGACAGCTGGTCTGTGCCTCAGTTTTTCCACCTGTAAAATAGGGATGCTAAAGCTGCTTACCTCATGGGACTCTCCTGAGGATTAAATGAGTACGTTTGAGGAAAGTACACGGGCAAGTGCCTGGATGCAGGACTCGTGCACGGAACACTCCGCAAGGGCCAGCTGCTGCTTTGAGATACTCCAGGCAAAGCGGCTTCTGAATAGCAGCCATGGCTTGGTTGTGTATGTCTGTGTGACAAACAGGAGCAGAAAGAGAACAGAAGAACATCTATGAATGAAATTTCAGTTAACGATAAAAATCACTTACAAATTTCCTTTAAAATCCAGCTCTCCCCTACTCAGATGCTGAAGAAGTTGTATGAACTTCCGTTTCTTGCAAGGTGTACCACATCATTAGCTAAAAGGGGAACATGAGATTAAAGTTAAGCCTTCCAAATACAAAGAAAGGGATTTTTCTTTCCAGGGGAGAAAATTAAAAGGAAAATTGAGCCTGACCTCGGTAATAACATATTGCAGTGTTCTGTGTCCTGCCCCGGGGCACACCTCAGGGGGTGCCACCACCAGGCCCTTTGCTCCTCCAGGACTAAAGGCCAGGTGAGGTCTTGCTGGTGGTCTGGTTGTTCAGGGAAGGTTTCCACAGCTGGGGCTCCTTCCAAAAGTGCCTGGAGAAATTCCTTTCACCCCTTTTCAGGAATCAGAATCAGCTCAAGAAAAGCCAGGGGCCCTGGCATATGGAACAGCCCAGGAAGAAAATCAGCCATGAGATCGCTTAGGTCTTTTCCATGGGCTGAGATGTTAGTGGTTTGAACAAATAGTCATTCACGATTTGCAGCCCAGGCCACTGGAAACAGCTGCAGGGTCTCTTCTGGTGGGGCTGGGCCTAAGGGGAAGCAGGCATCTAACCTGGGACCGCTGCCTGAGCACAGATGACTCCCAGGGCTGGAGCTCAGGAACAAGAGGTGTGGAGTCTGGCCTCAGGTAGAATGAGGAGCAGCCAGTTACTGACAAAGACCCCAGGCTCACAGGCACAATGTCCAGAAGCAGGGGAGGCTGTGCCAGTGCATCCACCTGGCTCCTGCAGAGCACTAAGGAGACAAAATCAACGTACGTGAAAATGAGTTTAGCAAAATCCGGTGGTCAGCAAGAGGACCACCAGGTGTGGGTGATGTATGGCTCTTTAGAGGTGGCCCAGGCACAGATTGAGAGTAACAGAACTGGCTTCCAACCAACGCCCATGGTTCAGCAGCAGATGAGTCTCCTCCTTACCAGTACTACTTGGGAAGGCACTCACCCTTCTAATGATGCTCCCTGTATTTAGAGGTTGGGAATTTCCTTTTCCGTATGGCCTTCAGAGCCTGCAAGCTGTTCTTGGCACTTTCAGAGGAGACACATCTTCATTTTATTAGGACAGATCTCATTCGGGATACAACCAAGAGTTAAATGGGATCAAGCCCAGAGAACAGCAAATGATAAGACAGGGTAATGGCATTTGAAGCCAAAAGTGAGATGAGACCATAAATGATTGAAAATTATATGTTTTATGGTCCATTATTAACCAGCAATTCTAAAACAGCACTCCAAAAATGTACAAGCAAAGCTAGCCTCACTGGCACAAGTGCAATGCCTTCCAAAGCAGCCTGTGTAAAGGAACTGTACTAATTTAATTCCCCCCAAAGTTCAGGCATGTTTTTTGAAATTCAGCCTCATTATCTCAGTCTTGTCTCATAAGGCCCGTTCTTCTTGGACTTGAAAGGTATTTGATTAGGTTGACAGGATCAGACTCATAGATCTGAAGCAGTTGATCCCAGATGGCAAATCCTCAGCACACATACCACTGCCTGGCCCACTCACACCCATGGCAGACATTGCTAATCGATTGTGACATCTCTTCTCACCAGAGGATCCCAGATGGCACTGCCAACTTATGGAAGCTGGGACAATAGAGTGCATTTGCTATCCCTGGAGGAAAAGCTTAAATAACCTGTGTAAAAGGACTTCCAGTTCCAAGATGGCAGCATAGAAACAAGCTGGATTCACTCATCCCCAAACACGCAAAGCCTAAAACAAATATACAGTGCTGAGATTATCACCAGAAATATCCCAGAAATCAAATACAAAGATAAAACCATTCCTGGGGCCACCAAGAAGTGAAAAAACTGAGCAGATGGTAAGAGAATTGGACTTCACATCCATGACACCCCTCTTCCTATTCTGCCCAGTACCAAGCACATGAAAAAGTTCCCCCATCTCACTGTTTCTGCATTGGAAAAGGTGAAATTGATGTAGACAAATAGCTTCCCCACCATCTTGGGTTCCCTGGCAGGAGATCTGTCCCTCTCTTAACCCACAGGAAGCATCATGAGTGCCTGAAGGGAGAAATATCCCTAAGGACAGAGACAAAGGAGACAAGCAGGATTCCCACACCCAGCCCTAGAAACTCTGCTCTGTAACTCAGCCCCGGAAACTCTGTTCTGTAATTCAGCCACAGGAGACGCCAAACGAGAGTGGCTGTTCAGCAGCACGAGGCTATAGGAAGTTTGTCCCACAAGTCTCCTGGGCACAAACTCCTAAGCCAGCCTTCCCACACTGCTGGGATATGCCAATCAGGACCTCCCCCATCTGGGAACAGCAATGTTCTGATCCTTTGCTAGAGCTGAGGCAAAACTGGGTTTAAGGCACCTCTTGAAGCCATAAGGGAGGCAGTAGTTTAGTGGTAAGGAACCTCTAAGCAAATATATTCAATTAAAACAAAATAAAGCTGGGCAGAGAAGACTGGAATAAATAACCAGTCCTTCAATGCAAAGACATAGATGTTCACCCACAAGAAACAACAGTAAACGAGGAGCCATGATCTCCCCAAATGGACAAAACAAAGACAAAACAAAAGAAAAGAAACAAAAACTGACCCTAATGAGAGATCCATATGCCAGCTTTCTGACCAAAAATTCAAAAGAGTAGTTTTAAGGAAATTCAGTCATCTCCAAGATAATACCGAAAAGAAATTAAAAATTTTATGAGTAATTTAACAAAGAGATTCAAATTTTAAAAAAAACAGAAATCTTGGAACTGAGAAACACATTTGCTGAACTAAAAAAAATTAGTCTCTTAATAGCAGAATGAACTAAGCAGAGGAAAGAATCAGTAAGCTGGAAGACTATTTGAAAATACATGAAGGAGAAAACAAGATAAAAATAAATAAAGATCTCCTACAAGATATAGCAAATTACCTCAAAAGACCAAATCTAATAATTATTGGTGTTCAAGAGGGGGTTGAGCAAAAGCAAGGGGTAGAAACTTAGTTGAATAAATAATAACAGAAAATTTTCCACAACTCGAGAAAGACATAAGTATTCAGGTACAGGAAGGTCAGAGAACACCAAACAGATTTAACCCAAATAAGATTTCCCTAAGGCATACAATAATCAAACTCTCAAAGTTCAAGGACAAAGGGAATTCTAATACCAGCAAGAGAAAAGAAGCAAATAATATATAAAGGAGTTCCAATTCATTTGTCAATAACATTCTCAACAGAAACCATTCAGAACTAGATGGAGTGCAATGACATTTTCAAAGTGCTGAAAGAGAAAACACTTCCATACAAGAATACTCTATATAGCAAAGTTATCCTTCAGGTACGAAGGAGAGATAAAGACTTTCCCAAACAAAAGCTGAGAGAATTCACTAGCACCAGGCCAGACTTACAAGAAATGCTAAAGAGAGTTTTTCAATTTGAATGAAAAAAAAAAACACTAATAGGAAAAGAACTGAAGATAGAAAACCCACTGGTAAGATTAAGTACATGGACAAACCCAGAACTCTAATACAGTAACTGTTGTGTGAAATCCACTCATAACCCTAGTATGAAGCTCAAAAGACAAATCTATCAAAAACAACAATAGCTACAGCAAACTGTGAAGAGACAAGCAGTATAAAAATATGTAAGTTGAGACAACTAAAAGCCAGATGGGGAGGGGGTAGACCTAAAATGTAGACCTTTTCATTTTTTGTTTGTTTCTATTATTTTCCTTGTGATTTAAGATAAGTTGTCATCTCTTTAAAATAACTTGTCATCTCTTTAAAATAACTGTAAGATGTTTTGTGTAAGCCTCATGAAAACCATAATGCAAAAACCTATAATAGATTCACTAAAAATAAATAACAAATTAAAACATCCTACCAGTGAAAACCATTTAACTAAAAAGGAAGACGGAAGAAGGGAAGAGAGGAGCTACAAAATAACCAGAAAACAAGCAACAAAATGGCAGTAGTAAGTCCTTACTTATCAACAATGACACTGAATGTAAATGGACTGAATACTCCAGTTACAAGGCACAGAGTGGCTGAATGGATAAAGAAATAAGACCCAACTATATGTTTGGGCATTTTGTTTGTTTGGTTGGTTCTGAGACAGGGTCTCTATCACCCAGTCTGGAGTACAATGGTGTGACCACAGCTCACTGCAGCCTCAACCTCCCAGGCTCAGGTGATCGTCCCATCTCAGTCTGCCACATAGCTGGGACTATGGGTGCACATCACCATGCCCAGATAATTTTTGTATTTTTTGTAGATACAGCGTTTCATCATGTTGCCCAGGCTGGTCTCAAACCAACTATATATTGCTTATAAGAAACCCATTTCATCTATAAAGGCACACACAGACTGAAAGTGAAGGTATGGAAAAAGATACTCCATGCAACTAGAAACCAAAAACAAGAAAAGCAAGATAGCTACATTTATATCAGATAAAACAGACTACAAATCAAAACCTATAAAAAGAGACAGAGAAGGTAAATATGTAATGATAAAGAAGTCAATTCAGCAAGAGGACATAATGATTATAAATATCTATGCATCTAACACCAGAACTCCCAAGTATGTAAAGCAAACAGTAATAGATCTAAAGGGAGAGATAGATGACATTACAATAATGGTAGGGTACTTCAATGCCCCACTCTCAGTAATGCACAGATCATCCAAACAGAAAATCAAAAAGGAACCATCAGAGTTAAACTACACTCTAGACCTAATAGGCTTCACTGACATTTACAGAACATTTCAGCCAACTGTTACAGAATACACATTCTTTTCATCAGAACATAAAACATTCTCCAGGATAAACCATAACTTAGATCACAAAAGAAGTCTGAACAGAGTAGAAATCATATCAAGTATTTTTTTCTGATCACAATGGAATAAAACTAGAAATCAATAGCAAGAAGAACCTCAGCAATGTCACAAACTCATGGAAATTAAGCAACAAGCTTCTGAACAACAAATGGATCAATGAGGAAATTAAGAAGAAAGCTTAAAAATTCCTTGAAACAAGTGCCAATGGAAATATAACATATCTAAATCTATGGGATGCAACACAAGCAGTGCTAAGGGGGACATTTATAGCAATAAACACCTACATCACAAAAGTAGAAAGACTTCAAGTAAACAGCCTGACAATGGGCCTTAAGGAACGAGAAAAGCAAGAACAAAGCCAACCCAAAGTTAGTAGAAGGAAAGAAAAAAATAAAGATTACAGCAGAAGTAAATTGAGACTAAAAAAAAAATAGAGAAGATCAATGAAACAAAAAGATGGTTATTTGAAAAGATAAACAAAATCAACAAAATTTTGTCTAGGCTAAGAAAAAGAGAGAAAATCCAAATAAATAACATCAGAAATGAAAAAGGAGACATAAAAACTGAGACCACAGAAATAAAAGCTATCATTAGACACTACCGTGAACAATTATATGTCAAGTAATTAGAAGACCTAGAAGTGGATAACTTTATGGACACATACAACCTACCAAGATTGAACCATGTAAAAGGTATAAAATCTCAATAAACCCATAATGAGTAACAAGATTGAAGCCATAATAAAAAGTCTCCTATGAAAGAAAAGCTCAGGACCTGATGGCTTCACTGCTGAGTTTTACCAAACACTTAAAGGAGAAAGAAATTGAAGAGGACATCAAAAAATAGAAAGATATCCAATGTTCATGGATTGGAAGAATTGATATTATTAAAATGTCCATACTACCCAAAGCAATCTACAAATTCAATGTAATTTCTATCAAAGTACCGATGACATTCCTCAGAAATAGAAAAAACAATCCTAAAATTTATATGGAACCACAAAAGACCCAGAAGAGCCAAACCTATCTGAAGCAAAAGAACACAACTGCAGGAATCATAATACTTGACTTCAAATTATACTACAGAGCTATGGTTACCAAAGCAGTGTGCTACTGGCATAAAAACAGACACATAGACCAATGGAGCAGAATAGAGAACCCAAAAACAAATCCAACACCTAGAGTGAACTAATTTTCAACAAAGGTGGCAAGAACATACATTGGGGAAAAAACAGTCTCTTCAATAAATAGTGCTGGGAAAACAGGCTATCCATACGTTAAAAAGTGAAACTCGACCCCTATCTCTTGCCATATACAAAAATCAAATCAAAATGGATCAAAGGCTTAAATCCAAGACCTGAAACTAGGAAACTACTAAAATAAAACATTGTGAAAATGGTATAGGACATTGGTCTGGGCAAAGATTTTTTGGGTAAGGTCTAAAAAGCATAGGCAGCCAAAGCAAAAATAGACAAGTGGTATCACATCAAGCTAAAAAGCTTCCGCACAGCAAAGGAAATAATCAACAAAGTGAAGAGACACCTATAGAATGGGAGAAAACATTTGAAAATTACCCATCTGACAAGGGATTAATAACCAGCATATATAAGGAGCTCAAACAACTCTACAGGGAAAAAAATCTAACAATCCAATCAAAAAATGGGCAAAAGATTTGAATAGATATTTCTCAAAAGAAGACATACAAATGCCAGGCTGGGCGTGGTGGCTCACGCCTGTAATGCCAGCACTTTAGGAGGCCAAGGTGGGTGGATCACAAGGTCAGGAGATCGAGACCATCCTGGCTAACATGGCAAAACCCCGTCTCTACTAAAAATACAAAAAATTAGCTGGGCGTGGTGGCAGGCGCCTGTAGTCCCAGCTACTCAGGAGGCTGAGGCAGGAGAATGGCATGAACCTGGGAGGCAGAGTTTGCAGTGAGCCAAGATTGCGCCACTGCACTCCAGCCTAGGCAACAGAGCAAGACTCCGTCTCAAAAAAAAAAGACATACAAATGCCAAACAGGCACACGAAAAGATGATCAACATCATTGATATCAGAGAAATGCAAATCAAAACTGCAATGAGATACTGTCTCACCCCAGTTAAAATGGCTATGTCCAAAAGACAGGCAATAACAAATGCTGGCAAGGATGTGGAGAAAAGGGAACCCTCGTATACTGTTGGTGGTAATGTAAATTAGTACAACCACTATGGAGAACAGTTTGTAGGTTCCTCAAAATAACTGAAAATAGAGCTATAACATGACCCAGCAATCCCACTGTTGTGTGTGTACCTAAAAGAAAGGAAATCAGTACATTGAAGAGATATCTGCACTCTCATATTTGCTGAAGCACTGTTCACAATAGCCAAGATTTGGAAGCCACCTAAGTGTCCGTCAACAGATGAATGGATAAAGAAAATATGGTACATATACACAAAGGAATACTCTTCAGCCATAAAAAAAGAATGAGAGCCTGTCATTTGCAACAACATGGTCACAACTGGAAATCATTATCTTATGTTAAATAAACCAGGCACAGAAAGACAAACGTCTCATGTTCTCATTTATTTCTTGGATCTAAAAGTCAAAACAATTGAACTCATGGAGATAGAGAGTAGAAAAATGGTTACCAGTGGCTGAGAAGGGTAGTGGGGAGGTGTGTGGGGGTGGGAGGTAGATGGGGATGGTTAATGGGTACAAAAAATAGCTAGAAAGAATGAGTAAGACCTACTATTTGATAGCACCACACTCTGACTATAGTGAATAATAATTTAATTGTACATTTTAAAATAACTAAAAGAATATAATTGGATAGTTTGTAACATAAAGGATAAATGCTTCAGGAGGTAGATACCCCATTTTCCCTGATGTGATTATTACACATTGCATGCCTGTATCAAAACATCTCATGTACCCCATAAATATATACATCTACTATGTGCCCACAAATTTTTTTTTGAAAAAGGACTAATGTCAATTTCACCCCAACTCTTCAATAAGACTGAAGAGAAGGGCACACTTCCAAACTCATTCTGCAAGGGCGGCATTACCCTGATACTAAAACCAGACAAGGAAACAATAAGACAAAATTATAGGCAAATATCACTGATGAATATAGATGCAAAAGTTCCCAACAAAACACTAGCTAACTGAATTTAACAATACATTAAAAAGATCATTCACCATAAACAATTGTGATTCATCCTAGGGATGCAATAATGGTTCAACGTATGCAAGTCAATAAACATGATACATCACATTAGCAGAACCAAGACCAAAACCATATAATCATTTCAATAAATGTCAAAAAACATCTAATAAAATTCAACATCCCTCTATGATGAAAACCCTAATCAAATTGGATATAGAAGGAACGTACCTCAAAATCTTAAAGTCCATAAATGAAAACCCACAGCTAACATCATGACGAACAGGGAAAAGTTGAAAGCCTTTTCCCTAAGATCTGGAACAATGCAAGGATTCCCATTTTTACTACTCTTATTCAACATAGTACTGGAAATCCTGGCCAGAGCAATCAGGCAAGAGAAAGAAAGGGAATCCAGTTTGGAAAGGAAAACAGTCAAATTACCCTTGTTTGCAGACGACATGATTTTATACCTAGAGAAACCTAGGCTCCACCAAAAAAAAACTGTTATAACTGATAAGTGAATTCAGTAAAGTTGTGGGTTACAAAATCAACATACAAAAGTCAGTAGTATTTATTTACATCAATAGTGAAAAATCAGAAAAGGAAACCAAGAAAGTAATGCTGTTTACAATAGCTACAAAGAATATAAAATACCTAGGAATCAATTTAACCAAAGAAGTGAAAGACCTATAAAAAGAAAGCTGTAAAACACTGATGAGAGAAATTGAAGAGGACATCAAAAAGTGGAAAGATAGTCCATGCTCATGGATTATCTGAAATTATCCAGGACTATGGAAGAATTAATATTCTTAAGATGACAACACTGCCCAAGGCAATTTACAGATTCAATGCAATTCCTATCAGAATACCAATGACATTCTTCACGGAAATGGAAAATAGACCCTAAAACGTATATGGAACCACAAAAGATTCTGAATCGCCAAAGCAATCCTGAGCACAAAGAACAAAGCTGGAGGCATCACACTGCCTGACTTCAAAATTTACTGCAAAGCTATTGTAACTGAGTCAGCGTGGTACCAGCATGAAAACAGACACATTGACCAATAGAACAGAATAGAGAACCCAGATATAAATTCGTGCATTTGCAGCCAACTGATTTTCAGCAAGGGCACCAAGAACACACAATGGGGGAAGGATTGTCTCTTCAGTAAGTGGTGCTGGGAAAACTGGATAATTATATGCAAAAGAAACTAGGCCTCTGTCTCTCACCACACACACAAGTCAAATCAAAATGGACTGAAGACTTAAATCTAAGACCTGAAACTATGAAATGACTACAAGAAAACATGGGGGACATGCTATATAACATTGGTCTGGGCAAAGATTTTTGGGGTAAGATTTCAAAAGCACAAAGAACCAAAGCAAAAATGGACAAATGTTGGGAGGCCAAGGTGGGCGGATCACCTGAGGTTAGGAGTTCGAGACCAGCCTGGCCAATATGGCGAAACCCTGTGTCTACTAAAAATACAAAAATTAGCCGGGTGTGGTGCAGGGCACCTGTAATTCCACCTACTCGGGAGGCTGAGGCAGGAGAATCGCTTGAGCCCAGGAGTCAGTGGTTGCAGTAAGCTGAGATCACACCATTGCACTCCAGCCTGGGCAACTGAGCGAAACTCCATCTCAAAAAAAAAAAAAAAAAAAAAAAGAAAAAAAAGACAAATGGGATCACATCAAGCTTCTGCACAGCAAAGGAAACAATCAACAAAGTGAAGACAAAGGGTGACCACAGAGTGGGAGAAAATATTTGGAAACTGCTCACCTGGCAAGGGATTAACAACCCCAATATATAAGGAGCTCAAACAACTCTATAGGAAAAAAAATCCAATAATTTGATTTTTAAAAATGGGCCAAAGATCTGAATAGATATTTCTCAAGAAATGTCTATTTCTTGACATTTGACATGACAAACAAATGGCCAGCAGGTATATGAAATAATGCTCAACATCACTAATTATCATGGGAATGCAAATCAAAACTGGAATGAGGTACCATCTCACCCCAGTTAAAATTGATTTTATTAAAAACAGTATCAAATACTGGCAAGAGAAAAGGGAACCTCAGACACTGTGGGCGGGCATGTAGGTTAGTGCAGCCCCCATGGAGAACAGTGTGGAGGTTCCCAAAAAACCAGAAATAGAACTACCATACAACCCATCTACTCCACTACTGAGTGTACGCCCGAAAGAAAGGACATCAGGATGTTGAGGAGATCTCTGCACTCCCATGTTTACTGCAGCACTATCCATAGTAGCCAAAATAGAGAATCAACCTAAGTGCTCACCAGCAGATGAATGGAAGAGGAAAACGGGGCACATATACACAGTGGAATATGGTTCAGTCAGAGAAGGGAATGAGATCCTGTTGTTTTTAGCAACAAGGATGGAACTGGAGGCCACTACGTTAAGTGAAACAAGCCAGGCTCAGAAAGACAGATCTCACCTCAGGAGCTATAACAGTGGACCTCATGAAGATAGAAAGTAGATTGGTGGCTACCAGAGACCAGGAAGGGCAAGGGGTGTAGGAATGAAGAGAAGCTGATTAGTGGATACAAATGTACAGTTTGAAAGAAGAAATAAGACCTAGTTTTTTCATAGATTTACTATAGATTACAATAATCTATTGTATATTTCAAAATAGCTTGAAGAGAAGAATTTTAATGGTTCTAGCAATAACGAAAAGACAAATGTTTAAGGTGGTGGATGTCCCAAGTGCACTGGTTTGATCTTTACAAAATATGTGAATGCATTAAATTATCACATTTAGCCTGAAACCATGTACATCTATAGTACATCAAATACATAAATAAAGTGATGAAACACCTGAATAAATGATGAAACACTGGGATCTTATGTAGAACAAAATAACATTGTTAGTATGGCAACTTTACATGCAATAAGTTTTAAATTTAATTTAATTCTAAGGCCAGGCACAGTGGCCATGCCTGTAATCCCAGCATTTTGGGAGGCTGAGGCAGGAGAATCACTTGAGGCCAGGAGCTTGAGACCAGCCTGGGCAATGTAGGGAGACCCTGTCTCTACAAAAAATAAAAATAAAAAAATTAGCTGGGTGTGGTGGCATGTGCCCATAGTCTCAGCTACTTGGGAGGCTGAGGCAGAAGGATTACTTGAGCCCAGGAGGTTGAGGGTGAAGTGAGCTCTGATCACACCATTGCACTCCAGCCTTGGTGACAGAATGAGAACCTGTCTCTTAAAAAAATGTTTATAAAAGTATAGATAAAACAATTTAGAAAAATACAAAGATTTGCATTATCAAATATAAAATACATATTACAGAGCCATAAAAATAAAAAGAGTGGTATTTTTACAGAAATCAACAATAAACAAAAACCAATGCAATAAAGTAGAACCTCCAGAAGCAGATCTGTGGCCATTACACAGACAGCCCCACGAACACAGCAGAAAGGATGAATGCGGCAAACATAGCTGGGAAAGCACTATTTTGGATCATAGAGACTTGAAATCTCTTTTTTTTTTTTGAGATGGAGTCTCACTCTGTTGCCCAGTCTAGAGTGCAATGGCGCATTCTCGGTTGACTGCAAGCTCTGCCTCCGGGGTTCGAGCCATTCTCCTGCCTCAGCCTCCCGAGTAACTGGGACTACAGGCGCCCGCCACCATGCCTGGCTAATTTTTGTATTTTTAGTAGAGACAGGGTTTCACCATACTGGCCAGGCTGGTCTCAAACTCCTGACTTTGTGATCCACCCGCCTTGGCATCCCACAGTGCTGGAATTATAGGCATGAGCCACCACACCCATCCGAGACTTGAAATCTTTTAAAGCCCCATGTCTGCGGCGTCTCTGTTGAAAAATCCTTTTCCACTGCCTGGGTAGACAGCTGAGCCTCACACGGGGCCTGTGTTAATATCTTGGGTCACACCACAGCCTGGAAGTGACTGCCTCCCGCCAGCCGTGCCTCTCCAGGGCCCCAGGAAGATGTCCATGGAGCTTCCCGGGCAGCCCCCCTCCGTTTCCCGTGGGGAAGAGCGAGGAGACATGGGCTTCACCTTCCCTCTGGTCTGAATAAATTTAATAATAAATTTATCCCACAGCCATAACATTTTCCACCATCCAGAACCAATGTTTATATCACTGAATATGGCAACCTTGGAGTTGGAGATAAATGCTTATAAATGCTTATAGGCCGGGCGCATAGCTCACACCTGTAATCCCAACACTTTGGGAAGCCAAGGGGGGGATCACAAGGTCAAGATATCGAGACCATCCTGGCCAACATGGTGAAACCCCATCTCTACTAAAAATACAAAAATTAGCTGGGCGTGGTGGCACACACCTGTAGTCCCAGCTGCTCGGGAGGCTGAAGCAGGAGAATTGCTTGAACCCGGGAGGTGGAGGTTGCAGCGAGCCAAGATCCCACCACTGCACTCCAGTCTGGCGACAGAGGGAGACTCTGTCTCAAAAATAAATAAATTAATTAATTAATTAATTAATTAATTAATACTTACAATAAAGTTATTCTTTCCTTGCTTAAAAAAAAAATAGCCTGCATGAAGGAGAGGCAGGTAAGACAGACCAGGCCACAAGAAGCCCTCGTGATTCACCCTCACCATGGAAATCCCTCGCAGGCCGTGCAGCGGGACGGAACACACTGCTCCTTCTGTGGGACGCACCCTGCCGTGGGGCGGTTCGCACGTGGTTTCCTGCCCAGAGCCACCCCTTACGCGCGGCAGCTGCAGCTGCTTTCAGGCTACAGCTGCAGAGCTGCATGGCGGGGGTGGAGGCCGTAGGGCCCCGAAGCCGGAAATCTGTAGTCCCTGGTCCTTCACGGGAAACTGTTTTCTAGACCAGGGCGGAAAGAGCCAGACTCCTTCATGAGGACACTTTTTAACCTCAAGCACTAAAGTTTCATCTTCACATAGGGGTGAGAAGGTGCAAACACACACATGATTTATTCCTATAATGCACGATTCCAGAGAAAACGTGCCCCCTGCTCACACCCTCTCATGCTGGCACACCACACTCCAGCGCTGCCTGTAGCTTGTCACATAAAACCTCTGAGCAAGTTTGTTTGCCAATGGGAATAAAAGCAGAATGTTTCCAAAAGAGGCTGAAATGGTCATAACCAGGTGTCCAAGTGGTCAACTGACCCTACAACACACTGACCACGATGCCCCATGGCGGGGAAGACGCCTGATATTTCACAGAGCTCCATGCTGTTCCCACACACACACCAGCTCACCTGGTTGCCAGAACCCTCCGAGGTCACAGGAGGGGCTGTCCCAACTTTAAACATCAGACCAAGATTAAAGAACTTCAGGATGAGGCATGGGGGAGAGTCAAATGGGACCAAAACCCAGCCCTCCACAGCTCCAGCTCCATGTCCTAAAGGCCCCTCAGCATGGCCCAGTAGCCACTGAGTATTTTCCAGTGCAGGTACTGCCCTGGGCGTCTCCCACAAAACGCCTCTCACACCATGCGGCAGGTGCATTCCAGGTTGCAGCGCGGATGTGGGGTCTGAGGCACGGCCCTGTGAGAGGGGAGCACCAGGCCTAAACCCACAAGGGCAGCAGGTCTGCAGCGAGGGGCCGTGCTGTGTGGGCGGTGCAGGCTTGGTGGGCTTCGTGTGCTGTGTGGTCTACCCTTGGGAAGACGCTACTGGAGTGCCTCATTCCAGCTCAGAATTCCCAGAACCTGATGGACAACCACAGGACAGCAAAACCTGTGTATAAAGCATGAGGGTTTCACACAAAACCTCACAGGCCTGATAGAAGAGGAATCTGTACCAACTTCACCACTTGAAGTTGGTCTCATCGTCCTTGCATATAAAATGGAAATACTTGTATTCTTCCATGGTTGCTAAAAAGATGAAAACGGAATATTTGAATACAATTGGCCCAGGGCTGAAAACATAAAAGGTACCATTCATTTCCCCAGCACGTGGAAGGCAGTGTCATTTCCTCAGCACGTGGAAGGGGCCTTCATTTACTAAGCAAACCACCTCGCGAGTGGGAGACACTTTCAAGTGCCCAGCACAGGACCGAGCACGTGGAAGGCACCTTCACTTACGCAGCGCAGCACCTACCACATGGAAGCTACCTTCATTTACCCAGCACAAGACCTGGCACAGGGAAGCTATTTACCGAGCACAGGACCTAGCTATTGGAGGCTGCCTTCATTCACCCAGCCCAGGACCTGGTGCATGCAAGCTATCACCATTTACCAAGCACAGGTCCGAGCTATTGGAGGCTGCCTTCATTTACCCAGCACAGGACCTGGCACGGGGAAGCTATCACCGTTTACCCAGCACAGGTCTGAGCTATTAGAGGCTGCCTTCATTTACCCAGCTCAGGACCTAACACATGGTAGACGCCTTCATTTACTAAGCACAACACCTGTCACACAAAGGGTACCTACATTTACTCAGCAAACCACCTAGCACCGGAAGAAGGCAGCTTCATGTACCCAGCACAGCACCTAGCTCAGGAAGAAGGTAGCTTCGTGTACCCAGCACAGCACCTAGCTCAGGAAGAAGGTAGCTTCATGTACCCAGCACAGCACCTAGCACCGGAAGAAGGTAGCTTCGTGTACCCAGCACAGCACCCAGCACAGGAAGGTGCCTTTACTTACCCAGCAGAACACCAGCCACATGGAAGGGACCTTCATGTACAGCACAGCACCTAGCAAAAGAAGCACCATCCATTTACCTATCACAATGCAGAAGACAAAAAAGGTGCCTTCATTTGTGCAGTCCAGTACTTAGAACAAGGAATACACCATGCACTTACCGGGCAGGATGCCTGGCACATCAAATATACCATTTACACGTAACTAACTAGCATATGACAAGCAAATCCCTCCATCCATCCTAGAAGATCACAAAACTCCTATCAGAAGCATTCATCTAAGGAAATGAATGTCAGGATTCAGTGTGGCCAGACTCCAGGGTCTGCCTGGGTGAGGATGATAGCCAGGGTGGTCAGTGCCCAGCCCTGTGTGGCCGTGAGGCCTGGACGAGGAAGGAGACATCCCTGCTGCCCCTCAGCAAGCGTCCACTGCCCCCCTCCCACCCATCACAAGGCTGCGTGCAGCTGCAGAGGGGCCCCTCCTGCCACGGTGGCACAGCCGGGCCTCAGTTGGCACCTGCTGCCCCTCATCTGACCCGGCCTCCACGATTTTACGTATCAGGACATCAATCTTGCCATGTCAAGTTTCTGATTTCAGAAACGTTAAAATGTTTTGAAAAATTCCATTTTGAATTGAAGACACCCTGTGGTTTGCTTTAGTTTAACCGAGTCTTCCCAGGCACTTCCCTGTGCTCCTGGAGTCAAATCTCTCCCAGTCCTGGGGCACTTCAGACAGGCCCTGGCCTGGGGCCTCAGAGGCAAACGCGCTGGCACTGTGTGCTGTGGCATGGCCCAGGGGGGCTTCTGCCTTGTCCCCTCAGTCCAACACCAGCTGCACGCAGAGACTGACCCTGTGGACACGCAAGGTGGGGTGGCTGAGAGCCAGGGCTATGGGACAAATCCTGGCCTCCATGGCACTCAGGGAAGCTGCCAGACCCTCCCAGGATTCTGCCAATGGCCGCCTCTTCCCATGGATGACACCAGGCTTCTCTCCTTGACAACAGAAAAGAAAGGCTCCACGTGGATTTTCCTGAAACTCAGCTCTCTGGGGAAAGCACACAGCCTGAGCCCCCACAGGACATCCATGATGGCAGCAGCTGCCAGCTCCAGGGGCAGAGGAGGGAGCTGGGGGAGTCAGAGTGAACCCTGCCCCCGTGGTGCGGTTCTGAGGCCGAGCAGGTGAGGGTGAATTTTGTGTGTCAACCTGACCGGGCCACACAGTGTCGAGATATTCAGTCTGCATGGGTGCATTTGGATGAGATGGATGTTTGAATCAGTAGACTCAGTACAACAGACCACCCTCTCCAATGTGAGTGGGCCTCAGCCGATCAGCTGAAGGCCTGAAGAGACCAAAGAGGCCAACCCTGCCCCAAGGAAGAGGGCACTCCTGCCTGACTGCTGGAGCTGGGACCTTGGTCTTTTTGGCCTTCGGATTTGAACTGAATTGGCCTTCCTGGGACCTCGAGCTTGCTAACTGCAGATCTTGGGACTTTTCAGCCTCCACAATCTCAGGAGCCAATTCCTTATAATAATCTCTTTCTATCTGTCTGTTTATTTATCTCTCATTATCTGCCTGTCTATCCAACCATCCATCCATTTATTCACCCACTGACCCTGTCTATTTACCTATTATCTATCTGTCCCTCTGTCTATCCCATTGGACTGTTTCTCTGGAGAACCCGGACGAATACAAGTGTGCGGTCGAGAGGCACATTTGTTTGGATGAGTAACTGTCTCATTAGCAAATGCTTTTTTGTCCACCTGCACACAGCAAGCACTTAATAAATGTCTGCTTCTCAAAAGAACTGCTGCTTCCGGCTCTGCTGCCAGCAGGTGCACCTTTTGGCAGACAGCCAACCCTAACTGCACGTCCAGAGGCTCTGCCCTGCTGCCGCAGCTCCAGCAAACCCTGCTGGAAGACACAGGTGCAGGGATGCGAGGCGGGGCTCCCAAGCCGCCCACCCAGCTGTGACTCCACCGGCGAGATCAAGACGTCAAGAAGCAACTGGCCCGTGCACGTGCCATCACCACAGTGGCAAACCAGGTGAGCACAAATGCATCTGTGCTCAGACCCAGCAGGCATCTGAGTCCTGCCGCACAACTCGCCGGAGCCTTGTCATTGACCACTGTCCACACAGTGTGCCCAACACTGACATCCTTCCTCAACAGGTACTTCCCATGCCCCGTGTTTGATTCATCACCCATCTGCAGGTGAGGCCAACGCGACCTGCAAAGGGATGACCTGCCCGTGGCCATGGGCCTGGGTTGCTGGGATCCAATTCCTGTTTGGCCCCTCCTATCCCAGGGGCTCCTCTGTACCAGCCCCCAACCCTCGCCACTGACAGAAGCTCAGTCTGGCTGTGGTGAGCGGCCTCAGGCATGTCCCCCACAGGTTCTCTCTGTGGACCTGTCTCTCCCGGCTGCAGGGGGAAGGAGCACCAGGGAGGGGGCGTGAGGGGTGGGGGTTGCTGGTGAGACATGGACTCTGTGGGTTCCTTGAGAAGCTGTGAGCACCAGGATGCCATGTGCACTGGACACAGCCCAGCCTCGGCTGCCTGTGCATGTGTTTGTGCAGGTGTGCAGGAGTGCAAGTGTGAGTGTGCTTGAAAATGTGCGTGTGCAGATGTGCCTTGTGTGTGTCAATGCTTGAGTGTGTGCACATACATGTGTGAGCGTGTGCATGTATATGCCTGTGTGTGTGCCTGTGTGTGGGTGTGAGTGTATGTGTGCATGTATGTCCATATGTGTTTGTGTGTGGTGTGTGTGCTTGTGTGTGTGCATGTGTGTTTATATGTGTGGTGTATGTGTGCATGTGTGTGGTGTGTGGGTGAGAGTGTATGTGCATCTGTGTTTATATGTGTGGTGAGTGTATGTATGTTTGTGTGTGGTGAGTGTGAGTGTGTGAGTGCATGTGTTTTTGTGTGTGGTGAGTGTGAGCATCTGTGTACATACGTGTTTGTGTGTGGTGAGTGTGAGCATCTGTGTGCATATGTGTTTGTGTGTGGTGAGTGTGAGCATGTGTGTGCATATGTGTTTGTGTGTGCGTGTGTGTGCATATGTGTTTGTGTGGTGAGTGTGAGCATGTGTGTGCATACGTGTTTGTGTGTGGTGAGTGTGAGCATGTGTGTGCGTATGTGTTTGTGTGGTGAGTGTGAGCATGTGTGTGCATGTGTGTTTGTGTGTGGTGAGTGTGAGCGTGTGTGTGGGTGTGAGTGTGTGTGCATGTGTGTTACTGGTGCCAAGGGAGCCTATATCAGTGGAAACACAGTGTTGTCCTGAAGCCGATCCGGAAGATAGGAAGGAAGGCCGGCCGGGTAAGTGGGGCCACAGCCTGCTGGGCCACTAATTGAAGACCCAGGTACCACAGCGACCTTGGTGTCTCAGCCCCAGGGATGTGTCCTTGGGCCTTGGGGTGAGTGACGGCTGCCCCGGCCAGCAACCTGTGCTGCTGCCTGACCTGCGGAGAGGCATCGTCCCTGCCTGAGCGGGAGGCTGTGGGGTGGGGGTGGGAGGGAGGAGAACTCAGCTGGAAGCCGGAGCGGTGCCAGAGCAGCTCCAGGCAAAGGCAGGTTTGCACCTGGCCATGAAGGAGGCTCCAGAAAGGGTGGCAGGGACGGAGGGAAGGGACCCTCAGCGCCCCACCCAGCTCAGCTTGTTTGCAGTATATCGCTACAAAGGACCGTCACTGGCCCACCCCTCACCTCCAGGCAGCCCAGGCACACACAGGGAGGTGCTCATCCGAGAGCGTGTGCACGGTTGTGCAGGTGTGAACATGCCAGGGAACATTCTCTGTGTGCTGACGCTTCACTCAAGGCCAACCTCCCTGCTGCTTCCAGATAGGCCCATTTCCTCTTCTCAACCTGAGAAAGCATTTGTGTGGCACTCTGACCTTCCCCCAAACACCTACCCACCCCACACACTCACACACAGACACCACAGAGACTGAGGGCACGCCGAGTGTGCAGGTGAAGGGTAAAGACACCCGTGAATTCTGTTCGCAGCTATGCTGTTTGGAACAAGGGCATGGGGCCATCTCCCAAGTCTGCGCACTACAGGAGTGAAGCCAGTGGTGCTGAGGGTGCAGCCAGGAGCCAGGACCTGGGGCTGCTCCCAGCTCTCCAGAGCGCCCACAGCATTTGTCCTTAGAGACTGGCCAAGGCCAGCATGGCCCCTGGTTTGATGACAGGGTAGAAAAAAATGCAAATGAATGGCTGGATTTCTCCCCATTGCTGGGAAACCAGACTGCGGAGACACAAAACCCCGGGTACACCCAGGATGGGGGTCACACAGACAGAGCAGAGCAGAAAGGGTTTTCAGAGCTGAGTTTCTGTGTGTGTTTATTGTTGCTAAAAATAAAAGCAGGAAGCTAAACATAAGAAGGCAAAACGATTTCCTCAGGCCAAAGTGTCGAGATCTGGAGCTGCTTTCCCATAACATTGCGTTCTCCTTGTTAAATATTTAAAACGTAGACATGAGACAGATGGAGTGAGGTGTCCACACCCATGAGAACATGTGTGTGATGGTACAGTCATGTATTAATGTATGTAACTACACTCGGTTAATGTTTATCCAAGGATAAACGAAACAGCCTACAGAACATTAACAACCCATTACTGATTATACAACGCAGCGCGTCAAAACCCAGCATCCTCTCAGCTAAAAGAAGTGGGTGACTCCAGTGAAGGCAGACACTAACCTTTCCTGGCACTTCCAGCCAATGCTGCCCATAGAATGGGGCACCATGACTGCGAGAAGAGTTAACTCCTTCAGGATTTCTCCCGCTCTCCCTCCCTGGCTGACTCTGCTCTTCGCTGACCGTCCCCACCTCGGGGCCAGCACCAGCTCTGTGTCCCCATTCAGGGAGTCTTTTGTCCCCAGTGGTGAGCACAGCACAGTCACAGCAAGTGGACGCATGCTCCCTGCTTGGGGAATTGCTGCCCACAAATGGCGGGCAAGAAGCACAGGGGCTCCTCGTGTGTTTTGTTTCGCAACTGGCCCGTCATGACTTGGGGCTCCAGGACGGGTTGTCTAAATGCTCACATCTTCCTGGAACCCACGTGCTCTTTGAACAGGATGTCATTGATTCTCAATGCTCAGAAACTGCTGTCATCTTCCGTGGACATCACAGAGACACAGAGCCATGCAGGCAGGCATGATGGGCACAGATCCTGCTATTCCCCCAGGCACATCCCAGGAAAAGGGTCGACCAGATGCCAAACCAAAGACGTCGGCATTATTGTCACCTGCTTAAAATCAGAAGCCCTGCTTAATTCCAGATCTGTGGCATGGCAGAGCCCAGGAATCTGCATTCGGCAAACATGTGTGATCTGAATGCACAGTGAAGTTTAGTAACCACTGGCCTAGGGAAGTCTCAAATGTAAGAGATAGGCACCAAATCAAGACTGTTAAACATTTAACATTACACGTCTTCCTGAAACACTGGTGAAAGCTACAAACCATCCTCAGAATTATTCCTTTACAAAGGAATTTATATTTTAAACTATACCAATTTATATAATTTATATTTTAAACTATTTTATATTTTATACTAATTTATATTTTAAACTATACCAATTATCATTAACTACGTAATTATATCTTAATATATAGTACCGTGTCTCACTTGCTATTTTGGGTGTCCCATAGAAATGACATTTGGAGCCCCAGTCTAAGGAAAACCAAGCTCAAAATTTGAATGTTTACTGTCATAGGGTAGATCTTTAAACCTAAACTCTAGAATTATTCCTCAAGTCATCCAGAAAAGTAATAGTCCATTCTCACACTGCTATAAAGATACTACCTGAGACTGGTTAATTTAGAAAGGAAAGAGGTTTAATTGACTTAGTTGCTCATGGCTGGGGAGGCCTCAGGAAACTTACAATCATGTGGAAGGCTAAAGAGAAACAGGCATCTTCTTCACAAAGTGGCAGGAGAGAGACAGCAGGGGAAACTGCCACCTTTAAACCATCAGATATCGTGAGAACTCCCTCACCATCATGAGAACAGCCTGGGGGAACCGCCCCCATGATCCAATCACCTCCCATCAGGTCCCTCCCTCGACACTGGGGATCACAATTCTAGATGAGATTTGGGTGGGGACACAGAGCCAAACCATATCAGGGGCTCCTGAGGGATCCCATCTCATTCTGCCTTTATTCAGGGGAGAGGAGCAAAGTGAGAGACAGTGTGGGAAAAGCCCCATCTCCAGCTACCTGAACCGGGCATGGCTGAGGCTCATGGGGGATGCACAGGCCTTGCCTGCCTCATTCCTGTGGGGATCTCGTGACGGGCAGGGCTCTGCACACTGAGGAGCACCTGGAGGGTCCTCACAGATGGGAAACTCAGGCCTCACACTGAGTTTCAGCTGCTGCACAGTGAGGTGAGGCGGGTGCTGTAACAGCAGCACTTCCTGCCCACATGACACGGAAGGAGCATTTCCTGTTTCCAGAAGGTCCCTCTAGGCTCTGGCTCAGGGATCCACACGGTAGCTCCCGCATCTCCAACACGAGACTTCTGAGGTCACAGCCGACAGGGAAGGCGGATGGGGCCAACAGGCTCCCCAGGCCCTGACTGGACGTCTCATCAGCTGGACCCCCGGAGCCCCACCTGGCTGCCCAGGATGCTGTGACCAGGAGAAGATGCAGTCACGGCTGCCCAGCCCCACAGATGATGACAGCGATGGTGGGGGTATGCACCCAGCACCTGTCAGCCCCACCAGGCCCCGTGCTGTGCCCTTCCACACACAGCTCACAAACACGGTTACTCTTTCCGTCTACATGGATGAGGAAGAGGCGGCTCGGATGGGCAAAGAAGCTGCTCAGCACTGGGCTGCAAAGAACCTGAACTGGGACTTGTAAGACAGGACCTGCCCAGGTCTTAAATGCAAGGAAGGGCCAGAGCCCTCTGCACAAGCACCAGAAGCCCCTCCAGAGCAGGGGAAGATGGAAGCCACAGCCTGGAAAGATGGGGCCGGCAGCCACAGAGGAGCAGGGAGAGACAGGGAGGCAGCAGTGAGAACTCCGGGAGTCACAGAGGAGAAGGGGAGAGACAGGGAGGCAGCACAGAGGAGAAGGGGAGAGACAGGGAGGCAGTGGTGAGAACTCCAGGAGCCACAGCCCACCCCAGAAATGTGGGGTGTCAGATGAGCCTGGGGCCAGCAGAGCAGGAGGGCTGGAAGTCTGGGTGTGGACAGCTGGGGACCCTCCTGGCAGCTGCTCCAACCTGGGTCTCTGATGCTGGGGCTATGCTCTGGGGAGCCTGTAGCTTCAGGGGATCATGAGGCTCTGGAGCCCAAGAGGAAGGGCCATGTAGACACCAGCACTGGGGCTCGCGGGCTCAGGGCCGCAGCAGATGGGGGCGGCTGGGGTCCTTCATTCCTTGCCCCGTCCTTAACTCCCCTCTTTCAACAGCTGCACAGGGAGGAAAACGCTGATTCACCTCTGGGCAAAGATGCTGCCCCTGCCCAGGACAGCAGCCAGCGGCCCACCCAGTCCGGGGCACACTCTCTGTGCTGTGCAGTGTGTGACTGACAAGACCCTTCCCATAGGCACATAGGCACGCCGCCCCAGGGAACATGTGTACACAGGTCTATATGAGTCAGGAGGAGGCTCAGGGCCTGCAGAAAGCAATGCTTGAAAAACATTCCATCAAGCAGGCTCTGCCTTGCAAAGCAGGAGGAAGAAAACTGCGGAGGAGAGGAACTCGGCCCTTCCACAGCTGCCCCCTTCCAGCTTCCCGGCCACTGTGCCTGAAGACACCCTGGGCCACCTGGGCCTGGAGGATGCCGAGGGTTGGCGAGGGGCCCTGAAAGCTGGGGCAGCCTTTGGCCTCCTGTTGCCCGCCCCGGCACGCCCCCACCCATGCAGAGATTCTCCAGGTCTGGCCCTTCCTCTGGTCCTGGACTAAGAAAGCTGGGTGGACCCATTCCCCGAGCCGGCCAGCCCCAGCAGGCCCTGGCACAGCTCCACACACAGACCCTGACAGCTGTGGGAGGCGTGTTGTCACACATGAGGAAGACACGCTTGGCCTCCTTGCCCTTCGGCCTCCTCACCTGGGAAGTGAGAATGGCGACCTTTACTGCTATGCCCCAGCATGCGGGCAGGGTTTAAACGGGGAATCCACAGAGCACCAGGCACCCGGCTGAGGCTCCTAGGATGTGGCTTTGTGTGTAGGTGGTGGTGGGGGCTCCTGTTGTGGCAGCTCCACCCTCAGGAGCTCTCCCTCCTGAAGCTCTGCGGCCAGGTCAGCCTCAGCACGCCAGGCTCCCTCCACAACCCAGGGCCCGTCTGTCCTCAGATCATGTTGTGTCTAACACCAGGGCTTCAGTCACCACCTTGAAACAGGTGATGCATGAATCCACTTCCCAAAGCCAGGCCGCCGGCTGAGCATCATGCCAGTGATCCCTTCCTTCCTTCTATGAAAGAGAATCTCATCATTGATCCCCAGCAAATTCTCACTTGCTGTCCGAGAGCAAGCTCAGCACTCTGGCAGGAGGTGCAGCAGCCTGAGGAGCATTCACAAGCTCTGTGAGCTCAGCACTCTGGCAGGAGGTACAGCAGCCTGAGGAAGTTCAGCACTCTGGCAGGAGGCTCAACGGCCTCAAGAGCATGCACAAGCTCTGCAAGCTCAGTACTCTGGCAGGAGGCACAGTGGCCTGAAGAAGCTCAGCACTCTGGCAGGAGGCACAGCGGCCTGAGGAGCATGCACAAGCTCTGCAGGCAACTGCCAAGTCTCCGTGATGCCTCTCACAAGTACTGTGACCTTGTGCAGGTGTGCTGCCCCCAGCCATGTGCCTGACAGTCTGAGAATTGTGAGTGAGCATGTAAAGTACCAAGCACACTATCAGGCAGGACAGCTGCTCCATGAGTGAAAACTAAACATCAAAATCCAGCTTTAAAAATGGAACCACAGTGAGTTAGTTTTCCAGTGCCCTAGAAAGGTGTCATATCCCGGGTCTGCTGAATTACAAATGGTTGATTACTTCTTTTATGAGCAAATTTTGAAATAATGAAGACATACAGAATTCAACTTAGGAGACTTCATACATCCTCTCCCTCTCCCTCTCCCTCTCAGTCTCCCTCTCTTGCGGAGCCTGGACTGTACTGCCATGATCTTGGCTCGCTGCAACCTCCATCCCTCGGGCTCCGGTGATTCTCCTGCCTCGGCCTGCTGAGTGCCTGGGATTCCAGGCATGTGCCGCCACTCCTGACTGGTTTTTGTATTTTTGGTGGAGACAGGGTTTCACCGTGTTGACCGGGCTGGTCTCCAGCTCCTGGCCTTGGGTGATCTGCCCGCCTCGGCCTCCCGAGGTGCTGGAATTGCAGACAGAGTCTCGCTCACTCAGTGCTCAATGTTGCCCAGGCTGGAGTGCAGTGGTGTGATCTTGGCTCGCTACAACCTCCACCTCCCAGCCGCCTGCCTTGGCCTCCCAAAGTGCTAAAATTACAGCCTATGCCCGCCCGCCACCCCATCTAGGAAGTGAGCAGTGTCTCTGCCTGGCTGCCCATTGTCTGGGATGTGAGGAGCACCTCTGCTCGGCCGCCACGCCGTCTGGGATGTGAGGAGCGTCTCTGCCTGGCCGCCCATCGTCTGAGATGTGAGGAGCGCCTCTTCCCGGTCGCCACCCCATCTGGGATGTGAGGAGCGTCTCTGCCTGGCCGCCCATCGTCTGGGATGTGAGGAGCACCTCTGCCTGGCCGCCCCATCAGGGAGGAAGTGAGGAGCGCCTCTGCCCGGCTGCCCCGAATGGGAAGTGAGGAGCGCCTCTGCCCAGCCACCCCATCTGGGAGGAAGTGAGGAGCGCCTCTGCCCGGCTGCCCCGAATGGGAAGTGAGGAGCGCCTCTGCCCGGCCACCCCGTCTGGGAGGAAGTGAGGAGCGCCTCTGCCCGGCTGCCCCGAATGGGAAGTGAGGAGTGCCTCTGCCCGGCCGCCCTGTCTGGGAGGAAGTGAGGAGGGTCTCTTCCTGGCTGCCCCAAATGGGAAGTGAGGAGTGCCACTGCCCAGCCGCCCCATCTGGGAGGTGAGGGGCGTCTCTGCCCGGCCGCTCTTCATCTGGGAGTTGAGGAGTGCCTCTGCCCGGCCGCCCCATCTGGGAGGTGGGAAGTGCCTCTGCCCGGCCGCCCATCATCTGGGAGGTGAGGAGCACCTCTGCCCGGCCGCCCATCGTCTGGGATGTGAGGAGCGTCTCTGCCCGGCCGCCACCCCGTTTGGGAGGTGAGGAGTGCCTCTGTCTGGCCGCCACCCCGTCTAGGAAGTGAGGAGCGCCTCTGCCAGGCCACCCCATCTGGGAAGTGTACCCAACAGCTCCAAAGAGACAGCGACCATTGAGAACGGGCCATGATGACGATGGCGGTTTTGTCGAAAAGAAAAGAGGGAAATGAGGGGAAAAGAAAGAGAGATCAGATTGTTCCTGTGTCTGTGTAGAAAGAAGTAGACATAGGAGACTCCATTTTGTTCTGTACTAAGAAAAATTCTTCTGCCTTGGGATCCTGTTGATCTATGACCTTACCCTCAACCCTGTGCTCTCTGAAACATGTGCTGTGTCAACTCAGGGTTAAATGGATTAAGGGCGGTGCAAGATGTGCTTTGTTAAACAGATGCTTGAAGGCAGCATGCTCGTTAAGAGTCATCACCACTCCCTAATCTCAAGTACCCAGGGACACAAACACTGCGGAAGGCCGCAGGGTCCTCTGCCTAGGAAAACCAGAGACCTTTGTTCACGTGTTTATCTGCTGACCTTCTCTCCACTATTATCCTATGACCCTGCCACATCCCCCTCTCTGAGAAACACCCAAGAATGATCAATAAATACTTAAAAAAAGAAAAAAGGAGACCTCATACATAATATATATATACAAGATTTAGTAGTTCTATCCTTTCTGTGTACCAAAAATTTTAATATATAAATATAATTTGTGTAAATGCTACTAAAATTTTTGATATACAGAAAGAAGTAGCTACTTACAATTATTGCCAACCAGAACATAATGACAATTTAAAGAGAATTGAACACATTACTTTTTATGATGGTTACTGAAGGCTGACTTTAAACACATTTGTGCTATCAAAATGTTAAGTTCAGACCCATTTATTTGAGAGCATTGAAATAATTTATTTATGGAAATGTATTTGTATTGTTTGCCTTTGAAAAAGTTTTGATGTAGTTGACAAAAAAATAGACAATGCAAATGGGAATTCAGAAGGAAATGGGTAAGGGAAATATGGGAGAAATTGGCTTTTTAAAAAATAGAAAATCAACATAATCCTTATAATCATAAATCAAATTTGGCTTTGAGCTCCCTAGCAGCCAAGGCAAAAATGTAAACATGGTTTATCACAAAACATTTAGTTTCTATTTCTCAGGAAAAGAAAATATATTCTTAACACTAATTTTCAAGAGAAATCTCTCACATGGTACAAATATAGGGGCATTAGGTGCTTCACTAAAGCACAATTTTCTCAACAACCATTTTAAAGTAAATTAAAAACTTGAACTTACATGGCTGTGTTTGAAGAAAACTGCTGTTAAAGTTCAGGAAATAATACTCAAGTACAACCATTGAAAGAAATTCCAGACTGGGTGTGATCGTGAATTTTGTGTCACCTTGGTGGGCCATTATGCCACCAAGTTGTTGTTTGGTCAAACACCAGTCCAGTTGCTGCTGTGGATGCATTTGCAGATGTGATTGACAACTACAATCAATTGACTTTGAGTAAAGCAGATTCCCCTCCATATGCAGGTGGGCCGTGTCCAATCAGTTGAAGGAGTAAAACCTGAGTAAAAGTAAAACTTAGGTTTCCCAGAGGAGCTCTGCCTCAAGACCATAATACAGAAGCCCGCCTGACTCCAGCCTCCCTGCAGATTTCAGATATGCCAGCCCCCACAACCACATGAGCCAATTTTTAAAAACAAATTCTTTGAACTGTGTATCCGGTTGGTTCTGTTTCTCTGGAGAACCCTGACTGATAGGCTGGTTGTTCAGAGATTCAGCTTCCAAAAGACCAAACCCAAGGCCTCAGCACAGGATGCCTGGGGTGTGCTGGAAGGCACCTCCGTCAGCACAAGCCACCCTTGCTGAGCACCTTTCCCCGCGGCCAGGCCTTAAGCACAAGCCACAGAACAGGCAAGCTTTGAGGGGCAGGGGTTCTAATCAGGCTACACACCTGCACCTCTCAGTGACCAGAAGCCATGAGATCATGCAAGTAAAAAGCGGGTGAGTGGCCACGGCCCCACTCTCCACCCTCAGGGAATGACCAGCAAGAACCCAAAGCCCTGGGATGCAGTCAGGATGCTCCAGGGAGGCAGCTGTGGGCTGGTCCCAGCACCAGGATGAGAACCGGACCCCACCGATGCCACCCTCACCTGGATGACTTTCAGAATAGGTTCATCGTGGCCGTGAATGACATTTTCCCACATCATCACCCAGAAAGAGTTCCCAGCAATACATACCCCTGGGCAGCTAAACAAGCTGACCTATTGCCATTACTTATCTTTGAACAACTACCTGCTTCCAAAGCCAACATGGGCCCAGGGCAGCCCTGTGGTCACTGGGGCAGGCAGCTACCCAGACTGCCCGAATCCATGGCGCCCTGGGCTTTACATTTCATAAATATTTTCAACATTATCTCCTATTCCTATGGTCAGAATAGAGAGTAGACAAAGCGAATTCTAAAAGCATAAAACTGAATCACATGATTTTAGCCCAACGTGTTATTCATTTGCTTTCAACCCATCAGAGCAGGTTCAAAGCAGACCTGGCTGGTCCTTAAAACGGCCCAAATCCATGTGTGGGGTTGTACCCCAACACCAAGCACACCGACGGGGCCCAGCGCTGCCGGGGCGCATGCTCACTGCAGCTGAGACGTGAGTGGATTTCCCATGAGGAGGTGCTGAAACCTTCTCTCCCCCACACACTCCTCCAATTATCCCTTCACAGGGCCTGATTCCCATGGGAACTGAGGGCTCCCTCAGGGAAACTGCCGGCCTTTCTGTAGTTAGCATTCAGACACACGACCCAAGAGAAGGATAGAGACAGAATGCAAAAAGGGGAGAAGGAACCCTGGAGCAGGAGGGATCCTGGAGAGCCCCATCAGACAGGGCAATGAGCCCAGATCCAGCAAAGAGCAGCCGCGCCCGAGCTCAGGGGGTGTGGGAGCTGTCCCAGAGCTGCCCTACAAAGTGTGCATGCTCCAGGGCACGTGTGTGCACACACATGCACACATACACAAGCAACATATGCACACATGTATACACATGTGCACAACACACATGCCAACACACCTACACACAAATGGACACATGTATACACACATGCCAACACACCTACACACAAATCCACACATGTATACATGCATGCCAACACACCACACAAATGGACACACATATACACGCATGCCACAAATGGACACACGTATACACACATGCCAACACACCTACACACAAATGGACACACGTATACACGCATGCCAACACACCTACACGCAAATGGACACACGTATACACACATGCCAACACACCTACACACAAATCCACACATGTATACACATGCCAACACACCTACACACAAATCCACACATGTGTACACATATGCCAACACACCTACACACAAATCCACACATGTGTGCACACATGCCAACACACCTACACACAAATCCACACATGTATATACACATGCTAACATATGCACACACCTGCATACAGATGCACACACACATGCACACACCTTCACACACATGCATATGCACAAACCACACACATGCAGATAGACATACATGCACACATGGGTACACATGCACACACCACATATACAAATGCACAAACCAAGCATGTGCACATATCTACACACATGCACACACCCACACACGTGCACATGCACATATACACACATGGCTGTGTGTGTACTGCAAGAAATATTTTTATAACATCTAAACCTTGGAGTTCAAGAAGCCCGAGCAGCCCCCCATGGGGTCCTCCTCCCTGGGAGCCTCTCTTCATTTTGGAAGAGATGGACAAGGGCCGGTACTGTGCAGAGTAAGAACATCAGTCAGCAGAATATGCTAGGAGGGCTCACACCTCCGGGGGAACTAGGCCCAGAGCAGCAGGGCCTACAGAGTAGCTAAGTCCCCAGGCAGGGGTGTGGCTCAGACACAGAGGCTCATGGCAGCGGCCCTGCTCTGATGGCAGAGATACTCAGGGATCACAGGGAATGTGACCTCCTTGCCACATGTGTCAGCCTTGGGAATGTGGGAACAGATTTACTCCAGTCCCTCTCCTTCCCACCTGCAAGAGCTTGTGGAGGTCCTAGAGCTCTGTGACTTTTGAGGAATATCAGGAGGAAAAGTGGGAGCTGAGGCCAGCAGAGGAAGAGCCAGAGGCTCTGCTGAGCAGCGAGGGGGAGATGGGCAAGGCTGTCCTGGCCTCACTACTGCAAGGCGAGGCGGATGCCCGGAAGGGGAGGGCTGGGCCATGCGAGAGCCGGCGGGAGGCAGCCGGGGAGCAGGGCCTACAGACTTCGGGTGGTGGCAAGGGCCCCAGAAGCTACCTCCTGAGTCATAGGGCACTGAGCCCCCAAAAGGAGCTCCCAAAGCTCTTTCTGGGTCAGTACCTGGAGCAGGGCAGGCCTGCAAACAAGGAAACCTGATGTCAGACGCAGGACAGCTATGAGGAGGAAAAGCTGCTGCAAAGGAAACACAAAAATGTTTCTAACAAGAAGCGAGAGTGAGCGGAAATCAGCCTCAGGAAGGACCCATTGTTATTTAAGATCTACGCAGTCGTACAAGCCAATTTGATGTGATGTTTGTGGTAGCTGAGTCATAACCTCCCCCGGGATATGGCCACATCCTAATCCCCAGAACCTAGGATTCTGTGACCTGTGAGGCAAAAGGGACTTTGCAAATGAGATTAAGTTAAGAACCTTGAGACAGGAAATTATCCCGGATTACCCTGGGCCCAGTTTACACTGGGTAATCACCAGGGTCCCTGTAAGAGGGAGGCGTCAGAGGGAAGGCCCCACGGTGGCGGAAGCGGAGGCTGGAGCCACGGGCTTTGAAGACAAATGGGCCAGGCCCCTGGAAGCTGGAAAACAAGGAAACGCACACTGCTGTGGGGCCTCCAGCAGGAACCAGCCCACCAGCACCTTGACTTTGCCCAGTGAAACTGAGGCTGGACTTGTGCTCTCCAGAACCGTAAGATAATATGTTTGTGTTGTTTTAAGCCACTGCATGTGCGGTAACTTTTTACAGCACCAACAGGTAACTGATACAGAGTCCTCATCGCTTTATTTTACTGAATAGTTAAAAAGCCTCAAATGAATTTGTCAGTCCACATTCCACCTTAGTCACCTAGTGTTACTTTTTAAGATTTTATTCTTTATAACTACACATTTTTCTATTGCAAAAGTTTTTAGAAACCTATGCCATAAAATTCAGAAAGACTGAGCTCCTTCCTCATCCTTCCCAGAGATAAGTCTCCATGCGCACAGGGTCCCCGTCCTTCACCATAAAAATGGAGAACTACTGGCAAAACAAACCTCTGGTGGTATCGTTATTCCAGGCTTCCAGGGAGAAGGCAAAACAGCCTGGGCTGGAGTTACTCACATCTGCATACAGCAAACTTAGTCCCAAAGCCGCTGGAGAGGTGTGTGCGCAACCCTTGTCTCGGCGGACAGTATTTTCTCTCTTGCACTTTGGAAAGGACTTGGGTCCACTGTGGGCTATTCCCTCCGACATCTGTGTCCTGCCCTATGCTCTGGGCATGGGTGGAGCTGGAGCTCCTGCACACAGCCCGGCGGCTCTCCGGCCTCCTCCCCATTGCCAGGGCCTCACGTGCACTAGTGACCCTCCTCGCATTCCCACAGGCACACGCCCTAGAGGAACGAGCCCCTAGCCAGGTTCCCACCAATGGTCGGTTCCATAATGGGCACATTCTCCAGTGGTTGCAGGGCTTGCTGTGTCTGAAACACCAGCAGATCCTCATTCAAGGAGTATGGGGCAGGGGAAGGAACAGGCTTGAAGGAGAGGAGGATGAGCTCAGAATTGGACATTTTAAGTTTGAGTTATTATGTGTTATCTAAGCAGAGAAATCCCGCACTCTTAGATACCATTGGATCTCAAGACAGAGAGCTGGGGAAAATATATAGACTTGGGAGCCATTAGCATTGAGTTCTCAATTAGAGTCCTAGGAATAAATGTGATAACCAGGACGAAAGTGTAGGCAGGGGACAAGGCGGTCAAGGATGGGATTTGGGGAAATGCCAACATTAAGGCCCAAGAAAAGCGTCAGGTAAACAGAGTGAAAATTCTACAGGAAGAATGACCCAGTGTCTTCAGTTAAAATGCACTTCACAGGGGTAGGAAACGGCTGAAGACTGAGGACTTTCAGAGATGTGCCGTCCGGAGGCCAGCTGGGTGTGCTCAGAGTCCAACGCAAGCACGCTGCACATCCTTGGTCAAAAAACCTTCAGAGGCCACCAGAGAAAGTGAACACGGACTGGGTATTGGATGACATTAGGGAATCATCACTAACTGTCAGGTGAAATGACTACACTGCGGTGATGTGAAGAAGAGAACCCATTTGCTAGAGACACGAAATAGGTGGAAGAGATGACATGTTGTCTGTGATTTATTTTAAAGCATGTGGGGACACAGCTGGAGGCAGGGTAGCAGGATGTGGCTGATTTTTCAGCCTGGACGATGGATTCGCTCTCCTTCTCTCTTTACATTTAGATGTGCGTGAGAATTTTTAAGATAAAGGATTTTAAAAGAGCAGATTTACTGTCACCCCTGCAACTGAGGCTGTGTGGCCTCTAAAGTCCACAGTCCGTGGTTTCTAACAGGATTTGTGGTCTCCAGTTCTTCTTCTCCAGGAAGACAGCCCATCCTGTTTCCCCAGCACTCCATTCTTCCATTTAAGGGGTGCAGACAGCAGCCCTGAGCTCAGCATCCCGTGGCCCCTGCACAGACACTGGCACCTCCATGCAGGCTCCTCCCCAGCCTTGAGATGCACAAAGCCAATTTGAGGCTGCAGCTCGGAGATAGCATCGGCCCAAGTGGACAGGCGGAGAGCCAGCCTCTCACCGCTCCTTAAGGCGCCTCTGCACCCTTCATCTGCCCAGGTGGACAGGTGGAGAGCCAGCCTCCCGCCACTCCTGACGGAACCTCCACTCCCTTGACCTGCCCACGTGGACAGGCGGAGAGCCAGCCTCCCCCAACTCCTGAAGGGACCTCCATGCCCTTGACCCCGTGTCCTGAGAGCTGGAGCACAACGGCCACCATGACTGTTACGACCTAAAAAGAATGACGCTGCATTTTGCCAGAGGTTTGCAAACAAAAGTGAGAGTCGGAGGAATGTGGGAGAAGAGAAGGAGGAATGAAAACCAGGGCAAGAAGGTCAAGATGGAAACCTGTGGCTCCGTGACAAACGTCTTTGAACGAGCTCAGCTGTGCCTTTCTAGGCCCACGATCAATAGGCAGCCGTTTGAACGGCCATTGATGAGCAAAGGTAACAGCTGCTGAATGTGGTGGCCAAGCGGGCCTGTGGGTTTGGGGTGCTGCCGGCTGCTGTTTGGGAGATTTGTTACACATGACAAGTGACACGCAGGGCCCTGTGTGGCCAACAGAACAGGCTGCCCTTGGGCGTGGCTGCAGAGCTTCGTGTGGAGCTCCGGCAGTGCCTGTCCTGAAACCAACTGAAGGTTTTTAAACACCAACCACCATTGCTGAGAAGCCGGAGCTTCGTTCTCACTACACCCAGATAGTGGTGGAAGGAGAGGCCAAAATAGTTCTGTGAAGATGGGCACTCAGGCCAGCCTCATTCTGCCCAAGAAGGGATTCTCCATGAAAGGTGAGGCAAGAAGACTTAGATCCCTTAATAACCACCGGCTAAACATGAATCAAAAGTGTTTATGCGATTGAGTTTCGAGGTGAAAGGGGGGCAATGGTATTCATGCAGCCAGAAACCTTATCTGGAAGAGAATAATGAAGAAGACAAAATGGCCGGGCACAGTGGCTCACGCCTGTTTTCCCAGTACTTTGGGAGGCTGAGGCAGGCAGATCGCCTGAGGTCAGGAGTTCCAGACCAGCTTTACCAACATGGAGAAACCCCGTCTCTACTAAAAATACAAAATTAGCCGGGTGTGGTGGCACATGCCTGTATTCCCAGCTACTAGAGAGGCTAAGGCAGGAGAATTGCTTGAACCCGGGAGGCGGAGGTTGCCATGAGCTGAGATCGTGCCATTGCACTCCAGCCTGGGCCACAAGAGCGAAACTCTGTCTCAAAAAAAAAAAAATAATAAGTTGTAAGCTTTTGTATTGTATCCACTTGGTATTTCTACTTTTGTTAAATTGGGGGAAATACTAACATTCTCAACCTATTTGTGGGTTGCCTTCAGAATTCTGAAAGTTGGGAGTCCCCGAGCAGTGCCAATGAGTGTTGTGCCTGCAGAGGAAGTCCCATCCCTCCCGCAAGCAGCTGTCTCTAACAAACCCTGCCCAGCTGTTTCCCTGCGTTGCAGACACTACAGGTGATGGGCAGAGGGTCAGGCTCCAGAGGGGAGACCACGCCAACAGGGTGAGTGCAACAGGACCCCAGGACCAGCAGCCGAGGGATCCAGCATGGTCTTTAGTGCAGCCTCCTGCTTCTGTGGATGAAGCCTGCGTGTCAGCCATCTATGGCTCCGAAACAAAGTCACCAAACACTTAGCAGCCTAGTCAACAAATATTGATGATCTCACACCATTTCTGAAAGTCCAGGATCTGGGAATATCTTTGCTGGGTGGTGCTGACTCAGCAGTGAGTTGGCAGCTCAATGAGGCAGACGGAAAGGATGAGGAAAGAGATATCCTAAAGTGACGGCAGCTCCTCACTGTCATTATGTTCCATCAAGTCACTGCCAACATTGAGTCAGTGAGTCCCGAACCATCACTCCTCTGGTGAATCTCCTGAAAGCCTCTGGTCCCATTCTCATCAGCCAATCAATACATAAGCTTGTTTTATGTGTGTTTCTGTTAAAAGACACCTGATTTAATATGGGTTGTTAACACTTGTACTAGTCCGTTCTCTCAGTGCTATAAAGACATACCTGAGACTGGGTAATTTATAAAGAAAAGAGGTTTAACTGACTCACAGTTCCACATGGTTGGGGAGGCCTCAGGAAACTTACAATCATGGCAGAAGGCAAAGGGAAAGCAGACACGTCTCACATGGCGGGAGGAGGAAGAGAGAGAGAGAAGGGGGAGGTGCTACACACTTTCAAACAGCCAGATCTCATGAGAACTCACTCATGATCACGAGAACAGCAAGGGGGAAATCTGCCCCCGTGACCCAGTTGCCTCCCGCCAGGCCCCTCCTCCAACACTGGGAATTACAGTTTCTCCTGAGATTTGTGCAGGACGCAGAGCCAAACCATGTCAACACCCAAGTCACTGCCTAGGGCAGCTTCTCAACGTGAGGCACAGCACCGCCTCCCCTCACCCAGGAAGACTAGCAACGGCACTTCCTCACGGCGCTTGAGGCTGTGTTTAACAGCAAAATTTCTAACAAAAAGCATGAAAATGTGAGACTAACTACGGTGTGGAGAGCACTTGTTTACAGCATGAGCTGAAACCAGAGGGCAGTGGCCACTCTGCTGGGAACCTGGGCCTTGGAGACACAGACTTTTCATCATTCTTCCGATGTCATCAAAACACCATAAAAGCACCAAGTACTGATTTGGGGAAAATGAATTCAGCAAGTGGGTAGTTTCACAAGTGGCGAATCTGCAATGACTGAGGGTCAACTGAGGTGCTGCTGAAGGGAGGCGTGTGAAGGCCGGGCGTGAGCTCAGGTGGGGCCAGGCTGCTGCGGCCTCTTGATGAAACAAGGTGCTCCTAGCTTCGGCCTGGAAGCTCCGTGAAGGTCATGAGTGCTTGGCTGAGCTTGACCTCTTCAGGAGGCTCCTCAAGGCACTGGAGAGCCAGCCCGAGTGACTGACAGCCTCACACGCATCCACCAGGCAGGACACACAACCTCCCAAACACATTGGCGAACCTCAGCTTTGACTGACAGGTGCTGAGCCTCTGAGAGCACATCATGTCCTCTCCGGGGCATCAGGGAGCTCCCACAGGCTCCTCTGCAGCCAGCAAATCCCATTTCCTGGGGAGGATAGAGGTGTGCCTTGCTCCCTTCCTCTGACACCTGTGGCCCGTGTGCTCCTGCACCTGGAAAAGCCTCATCCCATCCGGCTGCCAACGCTAGGCTGATTCCCTCGAAACATGCCTGGTGTCCCACCCTCCTTTGGTAATGAACGCCAAATGGGGCTGCAACTCAAGACCCCCAGCAGTGACAGCTGAGTGTGGGGACCACAGATAAAAGGGGCTGGGGATGCCGTACCCCTGGGGACTTGCTGGGAGGTGATGGAGCAGGGAGGGCTGCATGTTGATTCCCCAAAATCATAAGCCCTGGAGGCAACCATTCAAGAATGTGTGGTTTCCCCAGGCACAGGGAGCAGGAGAGGGTGCAAGGTGCTGTTCCCTGGGGCGACCTCTGCAGGGCCCCACACCCTCCTCAGCCAATGAGAGCTCACCCCGAAAGGATCAGGGTCCTGCCAGCCCCGAAAGAGGTGGAACCCGGCCCTTCCCTCCTAACCACTTCGTGGTCTCTCCCCAGTACCCCCCTTATAATAAATTCCATGACCGGCGCCAGAACACGGCACTGCTGCAGGCGCCACGCTGCTTCTGACAGCCAAGGCTCCTCAGGAGAAACGCAGCCCTGGGGAAGAGATCACGCACACGCATTAATAAATGTGTGCTTGTCATCAGTGGCTTCCATAGAACTTCTGGAGGGGAATGACAGTGGATCACGTTTCCTGGGCTCTGGCAGACACTAACCTTTGCATGTTACTGTCTTACATGATCTCTACTATAACCTCATGGGATCTGGAGATGGGAGCCCCGGTTGCAGGTGAGAAGCTGAGTTCGGTGGCTCAAGCTCACTCACAGTGGTGCGGTGGGGATTCAGGTCCAGGTGCATCTGAATGTGGAGCACACAGGCCGAATCTACTCCTAAGGGGCTGTCGGTCCAGCTTGCCACAGTTCCTACAAGGACCTGTGAGCCTAAGTAGGTGGCTCCCCACCTGTAACACCTGTTTCCTGTCTGTACACCGGTCTCGGAGGCATCATCCCCAGTTTTGGTCCCTGATGAACAGGGCCACCGTGCTCATTTTCTCCCGAAAATATCCACCCTGATCACTCTGTCCACCAACTTGGTGAAGCAGCGGGTGTAACTTTATGTTCACAGGAAGGCTGGAGAAGAGTGAGAGAAGAGGAAAGACAGGAGTAAACAAAGCATTTCAAGCAGGCAGCTGAGCACCTCGGCCCTGCAGGAGGCTCAGACACGCACCTGTGTCCCTGAAGTAACCATGCTGGTACCAGCTGAAGAGCTCTGAGCTCCATTCCAGGGCGTACAGTTCCAGTGCCCTACCTGCCATGGAAGGAAAAGGATGGGCAGCATCTCGGGCCGGGGTCCTTAAATACTGGCTGCTTTGGGGGCAGAAGAGGGAAGAGGCAGCAAGAGGGCACCAGAGCTTGTCTCCAAGGAGCAGCACTGGGAGCCAAGCTCCAGGAGGGCAGGTGTCCAGGCCGATGAGGAGGTACGGCCTGGCCGTGGCACCAGCCAGGTGAGAGCATCTAATCAAGGCAAGATGGGAGCTGTGCCAAGCCTTCAGGACCCACTCGTGGAAGTCCACTACCTCAGAGCAGCCCACAGCCTGTCAGCGGGGGCCTCCCTCACAGGCTCACGTCTGCCAAGATGCCTTCATTGACTTTGCAAAAAGGAGGAGTGATACGGCAAGTGGGACATCCACAGGAAACACGTCCACACTTACGAGCTGCGTAGTTCAGTTACCCAGCTGCCAGAAATCCGTCAGTCCCAGGGATTCCGTGAGGCACAAGCAAGTTGATTGGGTCTGCTTTCTTCCGTTACCACACCATAAATCTGTAGGCTTTTCAGCACACATGCAAATATTTTCTATAAAACTAGTTTTTATTTGCATATTAAAATTCTGCTTTGTGCTTTGTCTTCAATGAGTTCCAAAATATATTTGCATAATATGGCATTTGCCTATTTTATTCTAGCTATGTACATGCGATTGCCTCCACCTGGTTTCTATCGTAAAGCATGGTTGCCTCCACCTGGTTTCTATCGTAAAGTATGCAATCTTGCACACCTTTTTCTCTCGCTTTTATTGTAGGTTTTGTTTTGGCTGGCCTCGGGTTTTGTTGTGGGTTTTGTTTTGGCTGGCCTCGGGTTTTGTTGTGGGTTTTGTTTTGGCTGGCCTCGTGGTAGCAGGTACAGACATCATTCTAATCCTGCTGGACGTCGTCTTTTTTTTTTTTAACTTTAAGTTCTGGGATACATGTGCAGAATGTGCAGTTTAGCAGCCATAAAAAGGGTGAGTTCATGTCCTTTGCAAGGACATGGATGAAGCTGGATGTCGTCTTTAAAGAGTGACACTGCCGTTCCTTTTGGTGGGAAACCCCCACCCAGAGTGAGCCACACCCCGGGATGTTTCCTTTTTCACAGCCGTGGGCATTTCTTGCTGGGGTGGCAGCTGAATGTTGCTCTGGATCAGTACAGTCCTGCACTGGGGATGGAGGAAAAGAGACCTGAAAACGTGGAAGGAGGGACTGAGACCATGTTCCAGGTCAACATTTCTCTCATCATCAAAACTCTCTTAGAAGACGGAGCTGCCCTGTGCACATGAAATGGCTCCATTTACAGTGATCTTGTTACACTCAACTTTTTGAGAACTGTATACTCACTAAGTAAAATGAGGAGCATCTGAAATAGTAACTATTGATGAGAAAGGCTCATCACGTTCATATGTCCTTGTCACGCCAACCCTTTCATTAACATACTGAGTCAAGATGGTGTCAGTGGCACAAAACCATCACTACAGTCCCATGACAATTCGGCTGGAATTAAACCTTTCACTAAACAATGTCGGCTCTCTACCCAGAAAGTGGGATCAAATACAGCATGATTTGGGACATAGTTTCTATGTCACATGGATGGATGGTCCGCTCTGTGTAAAGGCAATTCACTGGCTACAAGCTAGCCTCCTTCACATCCAGTCTTGCCCAGACTTGGAAAAAATGGCCTCAAAAGTCAGAAGCTAGGTAGTCATCTGTGAAGTTACAGCTATTGAAATAATCACTTTAAGGTTATAAATTATATAAAGAGCCTGAACACCTATGCCACTCGTCTTGACAGACAATAACCTAGTAATGTCAGCTCTGCATCCCCTAAACCGACAGCCCAATCTCATGCAACCCAGGCCAAAATGGTACCTTAGCTGGAGAATTCTCATTCTCCAGGCAGGAGATGGGGAGACCCAGGATCCCTGTCATTTCCTGTTTGCTGGAACAGTGATGGGGATGCAGCCCAGGCAACTGCCTGTAAGTAATCCTTGAGCAACATGACTCGAAGCTGCAGAGTGGCTAATGAGGAGAAGGATGGCTACCTGGATGCTTCCTCAAGAGGCAGTTTAGCTGTGAAGCTTCCAGATGGCTTCATTGGGCCTGCCCGGGCAGGGACCCCTTCCTTCCCAGAGGGGCTCCGAAGGTCCAGATTGAGCACACCTTGGGTGCAGCTTAGACCGGATGTAGGTGTGACTGCAGCTCACACCTCTTTGCTTGGGAAAGGTGATGATGAGACTGGTCTGCCACATGGCCAGCACAAGGTTAGTCTGAGTTTGGGGGTCCAGTCAGACTTAGTGGTGATTAAATAACTCTACAACCTAAGACAGCTGTACTCCTCTCCTTGGACTAGCCCTCATAATTCCATCTTAGTGGCTCAAGATCTCATTAGGAAGGATCACAAAGTCTCACAAATAGATAAATTTAAAGGTTAAAAATGAGCTAACTGAGAATAGAGGAGAACATAGGAGCAGCGAGGCCACGAAAATAACCTGAAGCTAATCCATGATTAATTTTCAAATGTCTGTTGAGATTCTGACATGAGAAAAGCAATGTATCATTCAACAAAATATATGACAGTCCCTGTTCTCAGAAAGTATTACTGGGGATAAGTGAAAGGCAGATGCAGATATAAAATATATATTTTATGATTTAGTGTTAGTATTTAAGTTCCAAAGGAGTGGTTTAAACAATAACTGGTATAACCATTCAAAAGAGGGGGAAAGAATTACAGACTCACCTGGTCAGAAATAACTTCTCAAGGAGATGAGACTTAGAAGGGAACTCAGTGCAGCATTGGGATTGGCAAAGAGTCCACAGAAAGAACAGAACTAGTGAATTCAAGGGGCCGCTGGGAAGGTGTCCAGGTCTAACGGGGAAGGAGCACAGGGACTCGCCAGACCAGGGCGGACCATGGAAGTGGGAAGCAGCCGGAAGGAGGGGGCAGCAGAGCTCTCTTCCCCCGAAAATGTGTATCTCATCTTCCAGAGTTCAGAAGAGTCATCCTCAGGTTTGATTCAGTACAATTAAATAAATGAACATCTATTGAGTATCAGTTGACAATTGCTTCCCATTGGACAGATTAATCTCTAGTAAAACAAAATAAATAGGGTGGGAACTGTCTTGGTTTTCTGAGCCTGACCGCTGCAGCTCCAAAAAAGTACTGGCTTAGGAAGACAGCCACGGGGTGTAGGATAAAATTCTTGTCCTAAAAGACACCGATCCTCCCCGGGGACCAGAAGGGCTGCCGCCAGCGACAAACTGCCACTCGCTTTTGAAGACCTAGTAAATTCAACTGATGGATTGAGTCCACTCAAAATATACAGTTGTGTTTTAGACACTGCAGCAACACCTGCAGTCTCTTGTGAAAGGAAAATAAATCTCAGGATCCCAAAATCACTAAACCTAAGGGAAGTCAAGCTGGAAACTGTGTTGGGCAAACCTGTCTCCCATTCTATTCCTAAATAAGATGGCTGAGAAGATTTTTAACAAGCTACAGACCACCCTCACAATTTGACCACAAGGAAATTCCTCGTGGACGAAGGACAGACAGAACTCAGTCATCCCTCTGTTCACATGAGACAAACACAGATCGGAATGCTTCCTCCGCCCTGTTGTTTCACTCAGCCAGACTAAGGCATACGTAACTATTCCAGTAAATTGTGCATTCAGTGAAAGGCTAATCAAAAACTCAAAAGAATGCAGCCATTTGTCTCTGATCTACCTATAACCGGAAGCCCCCTCCCTGCTTTGAGTTGTCCCATCTTTCTGGACAGAACCAATGTACATCTTACATACATTGATTGATGTCTCATGTCTCCCTAAAATGTATAAAACCAAGCTGGGCCCCGGCCACCATCACCAGACGTCCTGAGGCTGTGTCACGGCGCGCCCTCAACCTTGGCAAAATAAACTTTCTAAATTGACTGAGACCTGCCTCAGATATTTTGGGTTCACACTATTCCATCAGCACTCCCTGAGAACATCTTTCTTCCAAATTTCCAAAAGATTACAGAATACATGAGATAAAGATGGCCCTGCCAAAGGAGGACTGCAGTAAATTCTGATCTGGGTTCCGGGCAGGCCTGGGGCCTGCAAGGCCCAGCCGTCCTCTCTGGAACTCCCTGGGTCCCTGGAGAATGTGGCCTTTCTCCTTCCTCTCAAGCCACCTGGGTGTTTTCTTTGTCATGAGAGGAATCATCGTCCTGGGGACCAGGTCTTCCCAGCGAGGAAGGTCGTTGCTAAGTTCTGATTTTGCTTCTTCAGTTTCTTCATTGGCCACAGAAAGGGAACTAGTTCCAATAGTGTGCTCTCCGCGTGAAGGTCACCAGTGGTCAGCAAAGAGGGGTGGGGGTGGGGACACAGCATCCTCGCCGGCGTGTGACACGTGCCTGGCCACTCTCTGCTATTCAGCATTTATTTTGCTAATAAAATATTATTATCTGATAATAAAAAGATGATTATTATTTGCAGATGTCATCATGATTGTTCTGGAAAACCCTGGAGAATCAATGGAGAAACTAACAATTGGAGAATACAGGAGAGGAGTGCCATATTCTTTAGTAAACAGGATTGGCAGGTGAAGATCAGCAGGACAGCTGCAGTGCCAGGCCCTGAGACGGCCATTGTCCTGGGACACCAGAGGGCCTGCAAAAAGAGTGAAGTGGCTGCGGCATGGAGTGGGTGTAGTGTGGAGTGGGCGTGGTGTGTTGTGGGCATGGTGTGGTGTGGGCGTGGCATGGGCGCGGCATGGAGTGGGTGTGTTGTGAGCATGGTGTGGGTGTGGTATGGCATGGGTGGGCATAGTGTGGAGTGGGCATGATGTGGAGTGGGCGTGGTGTGGGTGTAGTGTGGAGTGGGTTCTGGTGTGGAGTGGGTGTGGGTGGGCATGGCGTGGAGTGGGCGTGTTGTGGGTGTGGTGTGTGGGCGTGGTGTGGTCTGGAGTGGGCGTGGGTGGGTGTGGTGTGGAGTGGGCATGGTGTGGAGTGGGCATGGTGTGGAGTGGGCGTGGTGTGGGTGTAGCGTGGAGTGGGTTCTGGTGTGGAGTGGGAGTGGTGTGGAGTGGGTGTGGGTGGGCGTGGTGTGGAGTGGGCGTGGGTGGGCGTGTTGTGGGCGTGGTGTGTGGGCGTGGTGTGGTCTGGAGTGGGCGTGGGTGGGCGTGGTGTGGAGTGGGCGTGCTGTGGAGTGGGCATGGCATGGGCGGGGTGTGGTGTGGGCGTGGTGAGTGGGTGTGGTGTGGTGTGGACTGGGTGTGGGTGGGCGTGGAGTGGGCATGCTGTAGTGTGGGCATGATGTGGGCATGGCGTGGAGTGGGCATGATGTGGGCATGGGGTGGAGTGGGCATGCTGTAGTGTGGGCATGATGTGGGCATGGCGTGGAGTGGGCATGGCGAGGCCCTGGGAGAGAAGGGCAGCCAGCAGCACAGAGGCTCGGCAGCCAGGCGAAGAGGGCAGCTTTACTCAGGACCAACGGGGACTTACTGATGGTTTGGGGCAGGAGAGTAGCGTGAGTTGATCTGCGTATTTCAAAGATCCTTGTGGCTAGTGCACCCGTGTCACTTGTGGCTAAGTCTGTGTCACTTGCCACAGCAACCATTGGCAGCTGGCACGGGCATCTGGCGCTCCTGGGAGGGTTTTCAGTGTGGTCCTCTGCACACCTGCTCTGGGGTCCCTTGGGTGCTGATGAGAAGCGCAGCTTCCTGGACCTCACTGTGCAAGGGCCAAGGGACCCCAGAGCCCATGCTGGCCACCTCCTGGCCTGCCCGCATGGCTGGGGCACTGCCCTGAATTAATTTCTAAGTCACTGAGATGAGGAGAGCAGGTGGTGTGGAGACCAATGCTCCGCGACTGCTGTCTCCACTGGGAATTCCGTGGCCGGACTGAGGCTTGAGGAGCAGGACTTGGAACTGCGTTATGCCTCAGGGTGCTCCTAGGTGGGCGTTGCAGGGGATTCGATGGGGGCAGCAGGGGTGTGAGGGAGACAGGGGCGTCCATACGGGAGGCCTTTCCCAAGCGCCTTTATGAGTCAGGGAGACCCAAGGTGTAAGCGCAACACCTACAGGCGGGCTCTGGGACTCCGGGAGGCTTGGGCTCAGGGCAGCTGCACGGTGTGGGGCGGGGTTTGGGTTTCGGCTCATGTCATTGGGCCTAGCGCGTGTTCAGCATCAACTCACGCATTGTCCGGAGCTCTGGACGCATCGTTATTACATGCATCAAACAGCCTGCGCCACGGCCCTCACGCTCAAAGCTACTTTGAAAACGGAGTCTGGGCGCTTTAACATCTGGGAAGCTTCTCGCCCTCTCCTTAGCCTGCGTCACCCTCTCCCTCGCCAGTCCCTGCGCTCCGGCATCCATCGTTTCACCCTCTTCATCCCTGCCTGCTCCGCCCAGAGCTCTGTGATCACGGATGTCTCCATCTCCTTTTCATTTCAGTGACTTCAGACACTGAATACCCCCAAAGACTCTTCCCAAATCTCCCAGTGACCTTCCCTGGAAAAGGGGCTCATGTGCTGGGAGGTGCGGGCTGTGGCCCTGCATGCAGATTCCAGGACGTTCCTGCCCTTGTTTCGGGAGCAGCCCCATGGGGCCATCGCGCCAGCCGGGCATTTAATTAACTAATTACAACCTGCTGACACAAATCCTTGGAATATGGCCTTCAGAGTGCAATCTTTTCCTTCCAATTCATTTATCATGAGCCCCCACATGCAGCTGAGAGGCTCTTCCCTGAGGGGATGCGGTGGTAATTGGTCCTCCCACACGAGGTCCCCGGCTGGTCTGTCAGCACCACAGCCAAGCGTCACCATCTGTCAGCCCGTGCTGTGTCCCCACCTCGCGTCCTGCAGCCGGGGGTGCAGAGGGTGACAGAGGGAGATGGAGATCGTTTTTAACGTGATGAGCGTGACAGTCACCCGAGAGCGGTCACAGACAGACCCACCCAGGACAAAGCTGTCAGGAGGCAATGGAGAGTCTTCACCCGTGTTCCATCCACGGCCTTCTAACGGCCGGTGCTGTGGAAATCTCATTCAAGCACACAAGCTGATGAGAAGTCAAGATGACTTCGGCCATGGCACCTGGCCCCAGAAGAAGGCTGGATTTCTAATTAGGACGGAAGAAACAGGAACTGCCCCTGCTCCTTGGTTTCTGCTCCCTGGGGGCCTGCTGCCTGGAAAGCCCCGCGGGGGGCTGGCACGAAGGGTGTTTGGGGCAGCGCCCCAGCCACGTGGGCAGGCTGGGAGGTGGCCAGCACAGGCTCTGGGGTCCCTCAGCCCCTGCATGTGAAGTCCAGGAAGCTGCACTTCTCATCAGCACCCAAGGGACCCCAGAGCCGGTGGGCAGAACACAGGACACCTGTGTCAGCTGCTGATGGCTGCTGTGGCGGGTGACACAGACTCAGGCCTGTCCTAGCATTCTGTGGGCCAGAAGTCGGAAATGGTCTCACAGGCTGAAATCAAGGTGTCGGCAGGGCTGTCTCCTGGAAGCTTCAGGGGTGACTCCTGTTTTCCAGCTTCTAGGAGCCGCTGCGTTCTGGGCTCATGGCCTGTCCTCCCTCTTCAGACCAGCAATGGTCAGTACAGCCCTTCTGATGTGGGTGTCTTCCGAGGTGAAGGGCCCTGGGATCACAGCGGCCAGCCTGACAACCCAGGATCAGCTCCCTACTTCAGGGCGGGCGCTTGGCTACATTAATTCCAGCTGCCTGAATCCCTCTTTGCCATGTGCAAGACACATTCCCAGGATCTGAGGATTAAAACACAAACATTTTGGGGGCCATTATTCTTCCCACTACACATCCTAAGAGGATTTTAAGGTGAAAGCATCCAAAACTGCAGAGGAAAATGATGCCAGTAGCTGGCGAGAATGACCCGATTTCTCTGTGGGATTGGCCCAAGAAGTCTGTGCTTTGCACACAGTAGGTGCATCATAAAGATTTATTGTTGGGAAAAATTACGACAGTCTACAATGAGGACAAACATTTCTTAGGCTAATATATGACTAATAATAAATCAGGACATGTTTTTAGCTCAAATAAAGAATGTTCTTCCCAATTTTTTCATTCTTTTCATGTGCTGTCCTTATAATATCTATGGGGAAGTTTCTTCCAACGTTCTGCTCATTTTCTAAGTTGGGTTGTTTATTTTCTTATTGTGGAGTTTTGAGAGCTCTTTTTATACTGTCAGATATCATGATTGGAAACTGGTTTCTTCCAGCCTTCTCTTAAATATGTCTTTCATGAGCAATGGTTTTTAATTTTAATACAGTTAAATGTATCGATTTTTCCTCTTCTGCATCGTGATTTTGGTGCTGAATCTGGAAATCCTTTGCTTAACCCCAGGCAACAAAGATTTTCTCCTATAAAGTCTCCTAAAGTTTTAGTTTTATGTTTTACATTTAGCTCTGTAGTTCAATCTCAGTTAACTTTTGTAGAAGGTTTGAGGTTTAGAGCAAGATGGTTGGTTTGCTTGTACTGGCATATGGATGCCCAGTTTTTCACACCATTTGTGGAAAAGTCTATCCTTTCCCCATCGAATTGCCTTTCCACCCTTTTCAAAGGCCACTGGACAATATTTGTGTATGTAGATTTCTGGGTTCTCTATTCTGTTCGTCTGATACGTGTTTCTGTCCCCGCCAATAACACTGTCTTGACTAATGTAGCCTTATGTTAAGTATTAATGGCAGGCAATGTGAGTCCTCCAACTTTTTTTTTCTTTTTCAAAATTATTTTAGCTATTTTAGTTTCTTTGCCTTTCATGTGAATAGCAGAATGAGCTTGCCTATATCTATTTTTTAAATCCTGTTGGAATTTGTATTGAAATTGTGTTACATCAATAGATCAATGTAGACAATATTGACAAATAACTAAGTTCTGTCTTCCAGTTCATGAACACAATGTGTCTCTCAATTTATTTAGATATTCTTTGATTTCTTCCATCAGTGTTTTGTAGTTCTTGGCTTATAAAGCCTCTATGTTTTGCTGGGTTTATACCTAATCATTTTTTGTCCCTATCGTAAATGGTGTGTATGTGTGTACAAATGTGTGTATGTGTAGTTGTGTGTTTAAGTTTTCAGCTGTTCATTGCCAGTATATAGAAATATGATTAATTTTGAATGTTGACATTCTATCCAGCAACCTTGCTAAACATACCTATTAGTTCTAGCAGCCTTTTTTGTACATTTCTTGGAATTTTCTACATAAATAATCACATCACCTATGAACAGGGACAGTTTTTTTTTTGTTTCAACTGCATGCCTTTTAATTTCCTTTTCTTGCTCCATTTGCTGGCTAGGGTTTACAGTGTGATGGTGAATAAGAGTGGTGAGAATGGACACCCTTGCCTTGTTCCAAATCTTAGGAGAAAACCCTTTGCTCTGTCACTATCTTGATATCAGCCATAGTGAATTTTTTTTTAATAAATACGCCTTATCAGGTTAAGGAAATTCCCTTCTCTTCCTAGTTTGCTGAGAGTTTTTGTCATGACTAGATGCTGAATTTTGTCAAATGCTTTTTCTTCATCCGTGGACAAAATCACATAGTTTTTTTTTTTAGTCTGTTAATATAGTGAATTGCATTGATTGATTGTCAAAAGTAGAACCAGCCTTGCATTCCTGGAATAAGCCCATTTCATTGTGATGGATTATTTATTTCATATAGTGTTCGATTTGATTGGCTGATATTCTGTTGAGAATTGATGATGATGAGGGCTGCTGGTCCATAGTTTCTCTTCTTTCCCTGGTTTGGGCATCAAGATAATACTGGTTTCATAAAATAAGTTAGTGCTCCTTCCTCTTCTATTTTCTGAAAGACTGTATACAGTTTCTGATATTTCTTCTTTGAATGTTTAGTAGAATTTTCCAGTGAGATCATCTGGACCTGGAGTTTTATTTTTGGAAGATTTTTAACTAAAAAATCAATTTCTTTGATACAGAACTATTTAGTTTATCTATTTCTTGTTAAGTGTGTTTTAATAGTGTGTGGCTTTTAAGGAACTTGGCCGTTTCATTTAACTTCTCAAATTTAGGTGCGTAGAGTTGTTCATAGTGGTCCATTACTGTCATTTTTATGTCGGTTGTGTCTATAATGCTATCATCTCTTTCAGTCTTAATATTGATCATTTGTTTTCTCTCTTTTCTCTCTGTCATTTACCAGTTTGTTGATATTTTTAAGAACTGTTTTGAATTCATTGATTTTCTTTCTTGTTTTTCTGTTTCCAATTTTCATACAGTTCAAATTTTTTTCTAATTTCTTTGAAATGTAAAATTGACCTATGCATTATCTAAGTGTGTCATTTAGCCTTCAAGTAGCTGGAAGTTTCCCCAATATCTTTTTGTTATTAATTTCTAGCTTAGCTTTATTGTGGTCAAAAGCATGCTTTGCATGATTTCAGATCTTATAAAATTGTTAGAGCTTTCAATGACCCATGGCATGATTTACCCTAGTGAACATTTCACGTGCCCCTGAGAACGTGTGTGCTGCTATTGCTCGGCAGCGTGTTCTGCACATGTCAAGTGAGTCCAGGTGGTTGGTGATGCTGTTCAGTTCTTTATCCTCCTTCTAGAAGATTTTCTGTTCTATTCTAACCATGACTGATAAAGGAGTGTTGAAGACTCCAACTACCAACTACAGTTATTAATCCATCATTTCTCCTCTCGGTCCCACCAGTTTATGTTTCGTATATTTTGAAGTTCTTCTGTCACGTGCATACTCAGGACGGCAACGTCTGCTTGTGGACCTGACCTCTCACCATCATGCAGTGCCCTTCCTCATCAACCACAATCTTCCTGGCTCTGATGTCTATCTCGTCTCTGCAGCCACCGAAGCTTTTTTATTATCATTAATGTTTATGTGGTGCATCTTTTCATCCCCCTACATCATTATATTTAAAGTAGGCTTCCTGGAGACAGCACAGTTTGGTCTTTTTAAAATATCCAATCTGATCATCTGGTTTTTGATTGATATGCTTAAGCTACTTATATTTAATTTAGTTACTGGGGTGTTTGGATTTAAGTATGTCATTTCATGATTTGTTTTCTGATTGTGTCTTACATTTTTTTAATCAATTTCCCCTTTTATATCTCCATTTGGATTCTTAGAATAGTTTTAATATTCCATGTTAAGGGTCTATTGGGGTCTGGTTTATATCTCTTTGCACAGCTGTGTGGGTGTGTGGTTCACGTACGAATTACAATTTACACAATTAACTTTTCACAGTCTACTGAGGATAACATTTTGCTGTTTCATGTGGACTACAGAAGCCACTTCCACAGCGGCCTCCATGCCCTCCGCTGGCCCCGTGCCCTCCCCTCTGTGTGGACCTCTGCGTTAGCTGAAAAGACCAGTGTTATGGATGCTGCCTTCATTCCTCATACACACCGAGAAAAAGGCCTATTTTATTCACCCAGACATTTATCATTTCTGTCACTTTCCCTTCATTCCTGAAGTTCCAGATTATCCTTACTGTTTCTCTCTGCTTGAAGTTTCTGTGGCGCTTCTTTTATCACAGGTAAATTGGAAATAAATTCTTAGTTTGTCTTCATCTGAGACTGTCTGTATTTCACATTCATTGCTGAAAGACACTTTTGCTGGATATAAGGTTCAAGGTGCGTAGCTCTTTTCCTCCATGCTCTGGGCCTGCTGTGCCACTTTGAGGACTCCAGGGCTCCTCCTGAAGGTGAATCCACGCTCCTTTGGATTTTTGCTCCCTGTGCGTCACGTGCTGATTCCTCTGGCTGACTTTAAGATTTCTTCGTGTTTGGTTTTCAGCTGTTTTATTATGCTGTGTCTGGGTGAGGGACTTCTTTAAGTTTATCATCTTTGGGTGGCAGAATAAATTTCATAAGCAGCCTACTCATACTCTCTCAGATGAGTCATCACAATGTCTAATTGGCTAAAGGAAACTCTAGAGTCTTGAAGGAGTTACTATTTTCCCCCAAAATTAACTTAGAAGATCGAGAGTAATAAACCATTCTTACACATATATAGGTGCACTAGAAATAAAAAGAAAAAAAGAAATGTTTCTCTCTATTATTTTCGAGTAGGAAAAAAATGACAGCCTACATTTTAAGTCTGGGCCTTACATATTATTTCTGTGTACGGTGAAAGTGGAGGAAAAGGCCTTCTGTGTGATAATTACGGACAAGGTGCTTCTGGGGGGCTCACAGAACACAACAGTTAACAAGCGGGTGTCTTCACCAATCGTCATTACAGCTAATGTAGGCTGAGCAGTTCTTACACGGCAGGTGCTACACCCACCTCTTTACATGCACCCTCTCGTGTTATCCTTGGAACAACCTTGTGACCTTAAACATTATTAACCCCAATTTGCAGGTGAAATTGAGGCATAAGTAACTTTCCCAAGAACATACAACCAACAGATCCAAGAAGTCCATGTTCTTAAATCCCGACATGAACTCCTGTCACATCCTGAGAAGGCACTCATGCTGAGCAAGTTAAAGGAATCATCTCACCCTACCCACACATTAGCCAGGGGGGCCATTTCCTGTTTCATTTCCTATCAGTGTGTGTCTGTTCTTATTTGGAAAAGTAAAGGAGGCTTGGCTTAAACCAATCTATCCTTGAAGCCACATTTTAGAAGGGTAAATATTGCTTCTCATGTCACATGTTTGATCATGCTTCTAAACTAGCTGGGCAACCAGAGGCGCTGCCTCGGATCTGTGCTGCTCAAGGACACAGCTCTCCCTGTGGCTCTGGGTTCTGTCCCAATTCTCTCCCTCTGCTGCTCTTAAAAAGCCCTTATCCATTAGAGACACAGTAGTTACATAAAATTATATCTTTTGGGATGGCCAGAAAATACTCCAATCCAAAGAGAAAGAGAGATAGAGAGTGGGGACAGGCAGAAACTGATTAAACAAGTTGAGTCGTGAGTCAATAATTATTAGTCATAAGCCACTTAATTATTAATCAGGTGGTACTTGGTACATGGGAGTTCATTACACAGTCCTTTCTACATTTGTATGTACTCTTTAAACATCAAAATAAAAAGTTAAATTTTAAAACACAAATAGAAAACTAGTGTGTGTATAGATGTGTGTATCCATGTATATACCTGTGTGTATAAATCTGGTTTCTGCACTTACTGTTCTACTGAAATGAGTGGCTCTACGACGGCCCCGAATTTCCGAATCCTTGGGTCTGTTTTTAGACTTCTTCGCAACCAGTCGGCGGTGGACTCTGCTGATCTCTTCATTTATATGAACTGGCAACTCGCTGCCCTCTCACAGCTTTTGCGAGCTCCTTAATTTCTGCCGTGTTCTTGGTTTATTTGGAGTCAGGTTTCCTCTCCCCCATTTCTCACACGTTTTCCCTGAAGATGCTCTTCCGCTCACACGGCATCTACTGTTACCAAGTCTGAGGGAATTCCTGTTCTAAATCCCTTTTCAAAGCAGCAAATTGTGCTCTGAGGCAGCTCCTGTCCCTGGAGCAAAGGCTCTGGTCACTAAGGAGCGTTCTCGCGCACGTGAACAGCGCCCCCTGCCGTGGTGTGGAGATATTGCGTCATGGAGACCCTCCCTGCGCAGCTGCCGGCAGGACCCGAGTCTGTCCCCTACCTGGGAGACCTCTTGGCAACCAGGCAGTTTGCGGGGGTTGCTTCCTTGGCCCTTTCCACTCATCGGTGTTGAAGGGTTAGAGCAAACCAGCCGCCCTCAGCCACCAGCTCCCAGCAGATGAAGTCAGGGGTGTGAGAAGACGCTTCCTCATCCTTCTGTGACTCGAGGTATCTCTGCCCTTTGGGAAGCAAGAAGAACAGCAGCCGTTTCTGCCAGTGTCCTCATACAGCTATGGCTTCAGCAAGCCACGCGTGGTCATCTGTCAGGGTCTGGGAAGAGAAAGAAGCCACGGAAGCTACCAGAACAGATAATTCCCATGAGGGACTTGATGTAGGGAATCCGTAGGTAGAAGGTCCTTAACTGGGGGCCAGAGAGGAAGCTGCTGCCTCCCCAAGCTTGGAGGAAGAAAAGGAAGAGACGGACTTGTTCTCATTTTGACTCTTGAAGAAGGGACACATGGCCTGAAGAGGAGGCCCCAGCTGCTGTGAGGGTCTCGGAGGGAAAATTGCAAATGGGGTTTGGGAGCCACTGTGCAAAGTGAGTGAGCAGCCTTGCAGCTGTGGAGCATTGCAGGGATGCAGAGCCCGGCTGTGGCACTGAGAAGGCCGCAGGTGTCAGCGCCGGGCCCCTCCTCCTCCCGAGGGTGGGCAGGGCTGCGCTGCTGGAGGATGAACACCTGAGGGCTGGGCTGCTGCAGGATGCACTGCTCAGGTCACTCACTAGCGGGAGGGAGAATTTTAGGACTGACTAAAGTCTCCGGACACATCCTTGGCAAACACAGGGAAGATACGTGGTTAATGCTCCAGGCAGAATGCGCAAGCGTCCCAAATTCCTAGGCTGAAACCTCACCCACAAGGTGACAGTGTTAGGAGGTGGGGCCTTTGGGAGGTGATGAGGTTCGGAGGGTGGAGCCTCATGGTGGGATTAGTGCCCCTACAAAAGAGGCCCCAGGGAGCTGCCTTGTTCCTTCCGCCCCGTGGGGGCACAGCCAGAAGGCTCCATCTGTGAACCAGGAAGTCTGCCCAGACACCCAGACACTGGAGCAGGGATGTGGAAAATGCCAGGCATAGCCAGGTGATGGTGAGTGGCCCTCTGGGGGCCTGAGTCCAGGTGCCTAGGGGGTGGAGAAGGATCAGTCAAGGGAGCTGTGACCTAGGTGGGTGGCCAAGGCCTGTGATGCCACCAGGACTTAATGCTCTGGGCTGAGGATGCCATCGAAGGCACCTGAAACAATTTCTCTATTATAGAGAGAGGTGATCCTGGCCAAGGGACTAATTTAGAAGCAGCCAGTCTAATCTGACTAATGGCCAAGTAAGTGTCCTAAGCACTTGAAAAGCAGGCAAAACAGCAGCAGCAGAGGAAGATGGAGAAAAGTTCAGCCTGGACAGATTTGCCAAGAAGTTTGCAATCAGCAAATTCAGGGGGATTTTTTTTAAACCATAGTTTAAAATTTGTCTTGTTGCAAAATACAGATATACATATTTGAGTTACATGTGGGAGAGAATTGTAAGGTCTTGTGTGTGGTTAGGGCCCCTAAGTGTTTCCCTCTGGCCCTGTGGGCAGTACCCCACAGTTAGGAAGTCCAAGCCAGCAGGCCAGGACCCCCATGCTCACTTCTCTGCTGGCCTCAGTGGTGATGGAGCATTCACCTCTGGAACAGTGTCTCCTCTTGGCTTCCAGGCATCCTCCTGCCCCACCTCTCCCCCAGATGACTCTGTCCAGCCCTGCAGCTGAGGCTCACTCACCAGCCCTTGCTTGGCCCTGGCCCCTCCCCTGTGCTTCCTGCACCTGCATGGGACATGACAAGACACTCAGCTGAAAGCAGCCAACGCCCTCCTGTCCGTACCCCACTGCCCCCTTGTTTTGCCAAGCAAATGGCCTCACTGTCAGTCTACCCAATGTTTCAGGCCCGAACACGGAGTCATCCTCTGTCCCTTGGTTCTCCTCATCCCCCACCTCCAAGTACCCTCTGTGCCATCCTTTCCCCCACGCAGCTGTTCCAGCCCAAGCCACCTCGGCCCTGCCTGGACCACCAGGCTGGTCTGTCCCTGTGGTCTTTGGCTGTGAGCCTTTAAAACACAGTCAGGGGTTTGTTCCTCTACCCGGGCCCTTCACTGGCTTCACTTTGCCCCAGAAATAAACTCCAAAAGCTTTTCCAGGCATGTGTGGTCTGCAGGGGTAGCCCCCAGGTCTCCTTGCCACCCTGAAGTCTGAGACCTCACCTGGGCTCAGGGCTCCTTGGCTAGGGCCTGGCCACAATTCTCCAAGGGGCGCTCAGGTGGCCCCAGGGCCTTTGCACTTTTTATTCCCCCATTTCCTCCCTCCTTTAATTTCAATTTCAACCCAAAGACAGCTCAGAGGTGCCTTCCCCTAAGCCCCACCCTCACCCCCATCAGGGTGAGCACCCTCCCTGTGTCGCCCCCACCAGGGTGAGCACCCTCCCTGTGTCGCCCCCACCAGGGTGAGCACCCTCCCTGTGTCGCCCCCACCAGGGTGAGCACCCTCCCTGTGTCGCCCCCACCAGGGTGAGCACCCTCCCTGTGTCGCCCCCACCAGGGTGAGCACCCTCCCTGTGTCGCCCCCACCAGGGTGAGCACCCTCCCTGTGTCGCCCCCACCAGGGTGAGCACCCTCCCTGTGTCGCCCCCACCAGGGTGAGCACCCTCCCTGTGTCGCCCCCACCAGGGTGAGCACCCTCCCTGTGTCGCCCCCACCAGGGTGAGCACCCTCCCTGTGTCGCCCCCACCAGGGTGAGCACCCTCCCTGTGTCGCCCCCACCAGGGTGAGCACCCTCCCTGTGTCGCCCCCACCAGGGTGAGCACCCTCCCTGTGTCGCCCCCATCAGGGTGAGCACCCTCCCTGTGTCGCCCCCATCAGGGTGAGCACCCTCCCTGTGCACAACATTGACGTGCGTTCCTGTTGCTGTTTGTTTGTCCTCTGTAGGGTCCAGGAGAGCAGAGCCTTTGCTGAGTCCCAGCTTTACCCCCAGAGCCCACAACATGCCTGGTTTACAGTCGGTGCTGGATAAATGGGTTGAACTCATAAGGCTAAGGGAGGGAAGGGGTAAGGCAAGCTGCATACTTGTGGCCAGCAACCCTTAACTGGACTGCAGATGTGTTTGGGGCCTTTAAAAAAAGTTTATGTTAAAAGGGAGTTGTTTTCATGTTGGAACCCAGATGTGCTGGCCCGCTGCCCGCTGTACCTGCCATCTACTCACATCCCCGCCTGGCATCCCAGATGTGGGATTGGCTTGTGTGGAATATGAGAGCAGAGAGGAACGGGGTAATGGCAGGAGACTGGTGAGGCACAGCCCTTCCTTGAGGCTGAGGTGTCCGAGGAAACATCGTCCATCTGGGAGCAAGGCCCAGAAGGTCACACAGCCCTGGAAGTCACACCGCCCAAAGACACAGGCAGGGAGGAGGCAGACCCGCCCCCGGAGAATCCAAGGCAAATCCAGGCCAGCGACGAGGGGGCTCAGAAGAATCCCCCACAGAGGCCCAGGCAGGAAAGGAGGTGCATGGAGCTCCTACTTCTTAGCTGGGAACCGGGCTGAGTTCTGGCGCTCCAGGCAGGGAGACACCATGAGGCCTTCTTCAGAACCCTCCTATGCGGGAACAGCTAATGCACTTTTGAAGCAAACTCACCCACGGTCCCAAGAACAGACCCCAAATGTCTCACTCCATCAGTGATTCGTAACACTGGCTTCAAATTAGGGTCACTGGTGAATCAAAACAAAAAGTACCTGCGTCAGGGTCTTAGCTGGGATCAGATCAATTAAATCAGTTTCTGAAAGTGGGGTCTGGATTTAGGGGGTCATAGAACTTTCTGGGGGATTCCAATGAGCAGCCAGGACTAAAAATCCCTGGGCTTCAATATAAGGATCAGGGTGAGTTTTAAAAACATCTCCCAAAGCTAAAGAAGAGAGCAGGCAGTGGAGGAGAGAATAAAGAGAAGGATGGAGGGAGAGACAGGAGGAGGAATCAGAGTAAGCAGAGACTGAAGGCTGCTAAGGACCAGCAGGGACGCTGCAGATGGGGAGTGGGCGGGCCGGGGGCTGAGCTGCGTCTGTATTGGGCCCGCAGTCCCTCGCTGCTTGCTCCAAATCCTCCCCATCTGAATCTGAGAGCCCCCTCCCACCCTCTCTTCGCCTCAGGAAAGACACTGGAGGCTGCAGCGCAGTGATCAGGAAGAGCAGGCCAGCCTTGGTGTCCACCCCTCCCAGGCGTGTAGTCTGGGGCCCTTCCCATTGCCACCTCCCTTCCCCAGCTCTTTGCCGGTGTGGAAAGCGCCCTGGCGTCGACACTGTTTAGAGTGGCCCATTCTGTTTTCCTACTTCCATGCTTCATTCCCATCTCACACTGGGACATCACTCCTCCCCTAGTGTCCAGCACTGTGGCTCTTTTTATTTAAATGGCACACAGTAATTGTGATGTTCTGACACTTAGAGTGTATTGTGATGAAATCAGGGTAATTAGCATACCCACCACCTCAAGCATTGATGAGTTCATGTTGAGAACATTCAAAATCCTTTCTTCTGGTTGCTTCAAAGTATTGTTAACTGTAGACCCCTGCAGTGCTATGGATGCTAAAAATTATTCTTCCTATCTAGCTGTGATTTTGTATCAGCTAACCACCCTCTCACTCTCCCCAACCCTTCCCAAGCCTGGTAGCCACCATTTTACTCTGCTTCTATGAGATCAACTTTCTTTTAGTTTCCACATATGAATGAAACATGCAATATTTGTCTTTCTGTTCTTGGCATATTTCATTTAACATAATGTCCCCCAGTTCCATGTATGCTGCCATGAATGACAGGATTTGAACATTTTTCATGGCTGAGTAGTATTCTAATTTCTATCTGTACCACATTTTCTTTATCCAATAGTCTGTGGATGGACACCTGGGTTGATTCCATATCTTGGCTATTGTGAATCATGCTGCAATAAACATGGAGATAAAGTGTCTCCTTAGTGTACTGATTTCCTCCTTTTTTTTTTTTTGGATAAATCCCAGCAGTGGGATTGCTGGATCATATGGTAACTCTATTTTTAGTTTTTTGAAAAATCTCCACATTGTTCTCCATAGAGGCTGTACTAATCTACATTCCCCCCAACAGTGTGTAAGAGTTCCCTTTTCTCCACTTCCTCACCAGCATTTGTTACTCTTTGTCTTTTTGATAACAACCATCCTCCTGGTCGGTGGTGGTGGCGGGGGGCGGGTGTTGGTATCTCATTGTGATTTTGATTTGCATTTCCCTGATGATTAGTGTTGAGCATTTTTTCAGGCCTGTTGCCCATTCATATGTCTTCTGAGAAATGTCTATTCAGATTGTTTGCCCATTTTTAAATCTGATTACTTGTTTTTTGCCATTGAGTTGTTTGAGTTTCTTGTAAATTCTGGATAACTGTCCCTGGTTGGATGGATGGTTTGTAGATATTTTCTCTCATGAACTGGAGCCAAGGGAGTGAGACTGGATTTTGAAAGTTTCGTGAATTCAGCAGTTTCCGCCTCAGCCCCCTGTGTGGCTTGTCAGGACCATGGTGGGGGAGCAGACACCGTCCCTCGTACCCCCTCAGCCCCTTCCATCTGACACAGGTGGACACAGGCTGCCCACGAGCATTGAAAACAAGGATCCGCTCTATCAGAGTGACTCCATCTGATTACATCTGGTAATCACCAAACCTGAGGGATGATGAAGGCAGCTCCTCGAGAGGGTCGGCCCCCGGCTTCCCCATGGGGGCTCCCAGAGTCTGCTCCAGGGCTCCTGTCTGAACCCACAAGAGAGACCCTGGGACATTCTGAGTGCAGGGAGATAAGCTGGGCTTTTGGTCTCTCCTCTCTTCCCTTTCACAGCTGTCTGCAGTGCTTGAAGTGGGGGACGCCATGTCAAGGGAGCACCCCATGGAACAAAAGAATCTGAACAGCAGCCCTTGAGCCCCAGGTCTTCCCTCTGACATCGTCTACCCCAATGGAAGGAACCAGAGAAATAATTCTGGTTCAGGGCAAGGAGGGGCAGGCGACCCTGGTCAGCAGGTGGGGTAGGAGGTGCTGGGAGGATGGGCTATGCTGAGGCAGGTTTCACATACAGCACACAGATCCCTGGTGCAGAAAACTAAAGATCTCAGAGAAAACACCCCTCACGTGGGAGGGAGGACTCAGCTCAGAACGCATCCCCTCTTGGCTGGGGATGCAGCCTTCCCTGTGGGTGTCAGGACCCTGTGGGTGTCAGGACCCTGTGGGTGTCCGGACCCGATGGTTTGCAGGTGGCCTCCCGAGCACAGCCCTGGAGAGACGCAGGTGCTGATGGAACCACTCCTTCCAGCATGGGGTCTCGCTGGACCCTGTCAGGATGGATGCAGGCCTGTCTGTTTCTTCAGTCATCTGACCCGAACCCTTTCAGCCCCCCGGGAGCCTCATCTGCTGTCTGTATCATTGCTGTGACTGACGCGATCTTGAACATTCCAGAATGCAGACCTCCCCGTGCTTTAGGAAGGCGCCAGAGCACAGAAGGCTGCCCCCACCAGGGAGTGGGCTCACAGGGTGTTTGGATGGGGTTCCTCTAGACATCAGGGCCCAGGAACGTGAAGCATTGTCCTCTGGAGATCAGAAGTTGGGACAGGAGAATCAGCAAGACCAGCCAGGTCCAGAGAGACCAACACCGTCCCACCTGTGCATGGGGGAGCTGGAACAACAGGACCCAGGGCAGGGCAGGAGGTGGTTAGGGTGGGGTGGGGACCATGCCAGGTGCAGAGTTTCAGGCAGGAGTGTGGGTTTCCTTGACATCTGCTGCCCAGCTCGGGATGCAGTAATGAGAGGGTACTGTGCATTTCAAAGTCAAGAGAATAAACTTCAGGTCATTAAAACAAAAAAATGGCAGATAGGAGGCAGGACTAACGGGCAGCTCCCATTGGGACAAACAGAGCAGCATGTGGAGACTCGTGTCGTGAACTTTTGCTCCAAGAAATACTGCAGGAACATACCAGGAAAGCCAAGAGAATCCATAGACCCTTTGAAAAAGTGGATTGCCTCTGCAGGCCCCATAAGACAGCCAACACCATGAGTGCCCGAAGTGTGAGAGGGGAATGTGCATTCCTGAACACAACCTTCCTGGGGAACCTGAAGGTCCAGATCGCAGGAGAAGGATTAGAACTTACCTGGAGCTGAGACAAATTTAGAGAGCTGAGCAAAATGTAGGGGTAGAGGAAGCAGCAGCAAGAGCCCTGGGGGCACTCTCAGTTTCCAGGGAAGCCATTTCTGACTTTGTCTCACAGGGGTCCTTAGGAAGGGCTGCCAGTGGAACTGGGGAAAGGCCACTGGGAGAAGGAAACTTCCAGCTGAATTTTGTAACAATTTCAACTGAACGCGAAGCTTCCCGGGCAGAATCCCGGGGGAGCACGTGAACCAGGAGTGCAGACATAGCACAGAAGCCATGGCAGGTGGGGATGCGTGAAACCTGGAAACCCTGCTTGCTTTCCCAGTGGGGAGGCTCGTAGCCTGGGGCAGGCTTGTAGCCCTGCTCACCGGCTGCCTAGAAATAAACTCAGTGCTGTTGTGGGGGCACAGCAGGAGGGAGACTGGCCTTGCTGGGTGTGTGGGAACTGGGTGAAGCCTGTGGCTGCTGGCTTTCCCCCACTTTCTTGGTGACCTGCATGACACAGCAGAGGCAGCCATAATCCCCCGGGAATATAATTCCATTGGCCTGGGAACCACACCCCCATCCTCCACAGCAGCCACAGCAAGCCCCATCCAAGGAGAAGCTGAGCTCAGATATGCCTATCCTTGCTCCCACCTGGTGGTCTTTCTCTACCCATCCAGGGAGCTGAAGGCAAAGGATATAATCTCTGAGGAGCTCTGTGTCCCTGCCCATCATCTGAGAAACCCAAATACTTATCCAGGTGACCCTGAGGCAAGCTGGTACCCCCTATACTACCACAGCTGATGCAGTCTTGAAAGCACCATCTCCTGGCTGGAGGCCAACCGACATAAAACCACTGCACTAAACAAAACTACAACCAACATAAAACCACTGCACTAAACAAAACTACAACCAACATAAAACAACTGCACTAAACAAAACTACAACCAAGGACCCTCACAGAGTTCACTTCACCCTCCTGCTACCTCCACCAGAACAGGTACTGGTATCCACAGCTGAGAAACCTGAAGACGGATCACATCACAGAACTTTTTGCAGACATTTCCCAGTACCATTCCAGAGTCCAGTAGCTCCACTGGGTGGCCACACCCAGAAGAGAAATCACAATCACCGCAATTTGGCTCTCAGGAAGCCCCATCCCTAGGGGAAGGGGGAGAGCACCACATCAAGGGAGCACCTCGTGGGACCAAAGAATCTGAACAGCAGCACTGAGCCTCAGATCCTCCTTCTGACAAGCCCTTGAGCCCCAGATCCTCCTTCTGACAGTCTACCCAAGTGAGAAGGAACCAGAAAAACAATTCTGGTAACACAACAAAACAAGGTTCTTAACCCCCCAAAAGGTCACATTAGCTCATCAGCAATGGACCCAAAACAAGAAAAAACCTCTGAATTGCCAGAAAAAGAATTCAGAAGGTTGATTATTAAGCTAATCAAAGTGGCACCAGAGAAAGGTGAAGACTAACTTAAAGAAATTTTTTTTTAAATATGGTTGTATTCGTCTATTTTCATGCTGCTGATAAAGACATACCCAAGACTGGGCAATTTACAAAAGAAAGAGGTTTAATTGGACGTACAGTTCCATGTGACTGGGGAAGCCTCACAATCATGGCAGAAGGCAAGGAGGAGCAAGTCACATCTTAAGTGGATGGCAGCAGGGAAAGAAAGAATGAGAGCCAGGTAAAATGGGTTTCCCCTTATCAAACCATCAGATCTGGTGAGACTTATTCACTATCACAAGAACAGCATGGGGAAAATCGCCCCCCACGATCCAGCCATCTCCCACAAGGTCCCTCCCACAACACGTGGGAATTATAGGAGTACAATTCAAGATGAGATTTGGGTGGGGACGCAGAGCCAAACCCTATCAATGGTACAAAATATGAATGGAAAAATATCCTGTGAAATAGAGAGCATAAATAAAAAAAACAATCACAACTTCTGGAAATGAAGGACACACTTAGAGAAATGCAAAAGGCACTGGAAAATCTCAGCAATAGAACTGAACAAGTAGAAGAAAGAACTTCAGAACTTGAAGACAAAGCTTTCGAGTTAACGTCACGCAACAAAGACAAAGAAAAAATTATTTTAAAAAATAAACAAAGCTTCCAAGAAGTGTGGGATTACGTTAAACAACCAAACCTAAGAATAATTGGTGTTCCTGAGGAAGAAGAAAAATCTAAATATTGAAAAACATATTTGAAGGAATAATAGGGGAAAATTTATCTGGGCTTGCTAGAGATCTAGACATCCAAATGCAAGAAGCTCAGAGAATACCTGGGAAATTCATCACAAAAAGGTCATTGCCTACGGACATAGTCATCAGTTTATCTAAAGTCAAGACAAAGGAAAGAATCTTAAGAGCTGTGAAGCAAAAACATCAGGTAACCTATACAAGAAAACCTATCAGATTAACAGCAGATTTCTCAGCAGAAACCCTACAAGCTAGAAGGGATTGGGGTCCTATTTTCAGCCTCCTTAAACAAAACAATTACCAGCCAAGAATTTTGTATCCAGCTGTGAACCCTGAACATTTGAGATAGGTCTCAATTAATTTAGAAAGTTTATTTTGCCAAGGTTGAGGATGCACACCCATGACACGGCCTCAGGAGGTCCTGATGACATATGCCTAAGGTAGTCAGAGCACAATTTGGTTTTATATATTTTAGGGAGACACGAGACATCAATCAACATATGTAAGGTGAACATTGGTTCTGTTTGGAAAGGTGGGACAACTCAAAGTGGGGAGGGGGCTTCCAAACTGTAGGAAGATAAGAGACAAATGGTTGCATTCTTTTGGGTTTCTGATTAGCCTCCCCAAAGGAGGCAATCAGATATGTATTTATCTCAGTGAGCAGAGGGGTGACTGAATAGAATGGGAGGCAGGTTTGCCCTAAGGAGATCCTAGCTTGACATTTCCCTTTAGCTTAGTGATTTTGGGGGCCCAAGATATTTTTCTTTCACATTCCCCAACCCCTTTTCTTTTTAAAAACCTTTTGGAGAAAGCGTTTTAGAGAAAATGAGTCTCTGGTTCCAGGTTTCATCTGATCTCTCATGGCTAGGATGGCTTATTCCTAGACAGGTAGGTCCCAAGTTATTAGGAAAGTTCATTTTTAGAAGGTTGTGAAGTCTCATGTCCTATGAAGAGAAAAATAGGGGGAGGAAGAGAGAAAAACAATAACAAACAAAAGAACAATCCTGGAAAACTGATATAGGCCTCATTACTCTGGAGTTCATACATCAGTAGGCAGGTATGAAAGTAGCTCGTGTATGTAAATAGGTTGCTGTTATTTTCTTCTGAAGTTTAAGTTCTCTGGCATCAGTTCAAAGGGCTTTAAAAAAGCACAGCTTAGTTTTCAGTGACTCCAAATTAGGAAAAAATAAAAAAGAAGAAGGAAAAAATTGAAGACTTATTTTGAAGACTTGTAGCCAAGAAAAATTAGAATTCAGTCCAAATGGTGGAAAAATACTAAAAATTGAAAAACATTAGGCAAAACTAGAATCTAACAAGTGTTTGATTATAGTTAGTGTTATAGTTTTTGAAACAATTTTTCTCTCTCCAGTTTCCCATTTTTACTAAAAACAAATCACGATAGAATTGATTGCTTTATTATACTTGGCCTAATTATTTGTAGACAGTGCAGCAAGAATAATTATTTTTTACGTAGACTTTTAAATGGGTTTTGATGGAACATTGTTCCATAGAAGGAATCTCAAATAAGACTCTTTTTAAAGCCAAGCCCAGCCATGGATTTGTGCCATTAAATACCTATGAGTTGGGTGATCCTCTCCTCTTGGGGTTCCAAGATAAACTTGGGGCTCCTGGGCCTGTCAGAAAGTGACATTCTTTACTTACCACAGGTCAGGAACCCTGTACAGTGAAAGTATGAGGTCAATTTTCCCTAGGGGCTTTTATTGGCTCCATAAGTCAAGTTTGATTCCTTAAAGGAAAGCACACCATTCCAGTCAAACCCTTCGTAAGATAACCAGTTTCTTCAATTGTGTCCTGTTGCATTCATGGCTGCTGTTTCAGAAGCACAGCCATTGTTCTTTAGGTTTCACCTGGCTAGCAAAAGGGTGGCCTTGTTATGTAAATAAAGCCCCTTAAGTAGTCAAAATCAAAAATCTTTCCTTTTCTTCCTTTCACTAGCCATTTTTCTACCCTCTCCATACCACTTTTTTGTTGTTTGTTTGTTTGTTTGTTTTGGTGGGAATTTAGCCACTTAGAGGCCTCGCTTATCCATAATTTGGAACTTTCCTTTGGATTTGATCAAATTGGATAGAGTTGGTCAAACTCAATGAGAAAAAGACTGAAACAAAAACAGAAACAAACAACAACAACAACAAACTAACAACAACAAAAGCAGCAAACAACAACAACAACAAATCGGTTAAGCAAAATAAATGATTATACAACTTATATGATTACTGAGTGCTCTAATGGTAACAAGAAATTAAGACCAGCTGGTTGTTAATTTTAACTTTAGCCAAGACAAACCCCAATTCAGTTATTTACCTAGGGATGGGTCTCAGGCTGAAGACAGCTCTCTGCCATCCTAGAAGCAGGAAAGAAAACCTCATCTTCCCTGTTGGAAGCAAGCTCAAACTCCAGAAAGGAGTTACCTGCCTTCCATCATCATGGAAGCAGGAAAAACTTGCCTTCCTGTGTTGGAAGCAAGCTCAAACTCCAAAAAGGAGTTACCTGCCTTCCATCATCATGGAAGCAGGAAAAACTTGCCTTCCTGTGTTGGAAGCAAGTAAAACTCCAAAAAAAAAAGGAGCTGTACAGCAAAATAAACTTTAGATCTTGACCAAATTTCGAGAGATCAGGGATTCTCTTGAGCAGGTGCTCCCAGACCTCAGCAAATTGTTCTATTGGTTTGAGCTATAAAGTTAGCTCATGCTGGTACCAAGCACCAATAGGAGATTTGTCAAAGGTCACGGGCTTCTCCACTCAGAATCCCTCCATGGGTACAAAAATGTGAACCTCAAAAATCTGAGACAGGTCTCAGTTAATTTAGAAAGTTTATTTTGCCAAGGTTGAGGATGCACACCCATGACAGCCTCAGGGAGTCCTAACGACATGTGCCCAAGGCAGTCAGAACACAGTTTGGTATTTAACATTTTAGGGAGACACAAGACATCAATCAACATATGTAAGGTGAACATTGGTTCTGTCTGGAAAGGTGGGACAACTCAAAGTGGGGAGGGGGCTTCCAAATTGTAGGTAGATAAGAGAAAAATGCTTGCATTCTTTTAAGTTTCTGATTAGCCTCCCCAAAAGAGGCAATCAGATATGCATTTATCTCAGTGAGCAGAGGGGTGACTTTGAATAAAAAGTGGGGCAGGTTTGCCCTAAGGGGTTCCCAACTTGACATTTCCTTTTAGCACATTGATTTCAGGGACCCAAGATATTTTCCTTTCACTCAGCAAAACTAAGCTTCATAAATGAAGCAAAGAGAAAGTCTTTTTCAAACAAACAAATGCTGAGAGAATTCACCACTACCAAGCCAGCACTACAAGCACTGCTAAAAGGAGCTCTAAATCTTGAAACAAATCCTAAAAGTACACCAAACTAGAACCTCCTTAAAGCATAAATTTCACAGGACATTTAAAACAATAACACAATGAAAAACATAAGTAAGGTATTCAGGCAACAACTAGCACAACGAATAGACTAGTACCTCAAATCTCGATACTAACGTTGAATGCAAATGGCCTAAATGCTCCACTTAAAAGATACAGAATGGCAGAATGGATAAGAATTCACCAATCAAGTATCTGCTGTCTTCGAGAGACTCACCTAACACGTAAGCACTCACATAAACTTAAGGTAAATGGGTGGAAAAAGACATTCCATGCAAAAGGACACCAGAGCAAGCAGCAGCAGCTATTCTTATATCAGACAAAATGGACTTTAAAGCAACAACAGTTTAAAAAGACAGAGGAATATTGTATACTGATAAAAGGACTAGTCCAACAGGAAAACATCACAATCCTAAATATATATGCACCTACCACTAGAGCTCCCAAATTTACAAAACAATTACTACTAGTCCTAAGAAATGAGATAGATGGCAACTCAATAATAATGGCGGACTTCAATACTCTACTGACAGCAATAGACAGGTCATCAAGACAGAAAGTCAACAAAGAAACAATGGACTTAAACTATACCCTACAACAAATGGATTAACAGATATTTACAGAACATCCTGCCCAGCAACTGCAGAATATACACGCTACTCATCAGCACATGGAACATTCTCCATGATAGACCATATGATAGACTACAAAACAAATCTCAATAAATTTAAGGAAATTGAAATTATATCAAGTACACCCTCAGACCACAGTGGAATAAAATCAGAAATCAACTCCAAAGTAAACCCTCAAAGCAGTCCAAATACAAGGAAATTAAACAACCTGCTCCTGAATGATCATTGGGTCAACAATGAAATCAAGATGGAAATTTAAAAATTATTTGAACCAAATGATAATAGTTATACAACCTGTCAAAACCTCTGAGATACAGCAAAAGTGGTCCTAAGAGGAAAGTTCATAGAATTAAATGCCTACATCAAAAAGTTGGTAAAAGCACAAATAGACAATCTAAGGTCACACCTCAAGAAACTAGAAATAAAAGAACAAATGAACCCAAACCCAGCAGAAGAAAAAACATAACAAAAATCAGAGCAAAACTAAAGGAAATTGAAACAAAAAAATACAAAATACAAGTGAAACAAAAAGCTGGTTCTTTGAAAAGATAAAATTGATAGGTCACTAATGAGATTAACCAATAAAAGAGAAAAGATCCAAATGAACTCAATGAGAAATGAAACAGCAGATATTACAACTGATACCACAGAAATACAAAAGATCATTCAAGGCTACTATGAACACCTTTATGCACACAAACTAGAAAACCTAGAGGAGATGGATAAATTTCTGGAAATATACAACTCTCCTAGATTAAACTGGGAAGAAATAGAAACTCTGAACTCTGACCAAAAGCAACAAGATTGAAATGATAATTTAAAAATTGCCGACCAAAAAAAGTTTAGGACCAGATGGATTCACAGCTGAATTCTATCAGATATTCAAAGAAGAATTGGTACATATCCTATTGACACTGTTTCAAAATGTAGAGAAGAGGAAATCCTTCTTAAATCATCCTATGAAGCCAGTAGCACCCTAATACCAAAACCAGGAAAGGACATAACAACAACAACAAAAACACCCACCAATATCCCTGATGAACACAGATGCAAAACTCTTCAACACAATATTAGCTAACTAAATCCAACAGCATATCAAAAAGATAATCCACCATGATTAAGTTGGTTTCATACAGGGATGCAGGGATGGTTTAACACCCGCAAGTCAATAAATGTGATACATCACATAAACAGAATTAAAAAGAAAATCACGTGATCATTTCAATAGATGCAGAAAAAGCATTTGACAAAATCCAGCATCGCTTTATGATTAAAACCCTCAGCAAAGTCAGCATAGAAAAGGCCTACCTTAAAGAAATAAAAGCCATCTATGACAAACCCACAGCCAGTATTATACTGAATGGGGAAAAGTTGAAAGCATTCCCCCAAGAACTGGGAAAAACAAGCATGCCCACTTTCACCACTTTTATTCAACATAGTACTGGAAGTCCTAGCCAGAGCAATCAGAGAAGAGAAAGAAATAAAGTGCATCCAAATTGGTAAAGAGGAAGTCAAACTGTCACTGTTCATCAATGATATAATCATATACCTAGAAAAACCTAAAGACTCATCCAAACAGCTTCTAGAACTAATAAATGAATTCAGTAGTGTTTCAGAATACAAAATTAATGTACACAAATCAGTAGCACTGCTCTACACCAACAGCAACTAAGTTGAGATTCAAATCAAGAACTCAGTCCCTTTTACAATAGCTGCAAAATAAAATAAAATAAAATACTTAGGAATATTCATAATCAAGGAGGTGAAAGACCTCTACAGGGAAAACTACAAAACATTGCTGAAAGAAATTATACGTGACACAAATAAATGGAATCACATCCCATACTCATGGATGAGTATAATCAGTATTGTGAAAATGACCAAACTGCTAAAAGCAATCCTACAAATTCATGCAATTCCTATCAAAATACCGCCATCATTCTTCATAGAACTAGAAAAAACAATCCTGAAATTCATATGGAGCCAAAAAAGATCCAGCATAGCCAAAGAAAGACTAAGCAAAAACAAACAAACAAACAAACAAAACAAATCTGAATGCATTACATTACTTGACTTCAAACTATATTGTAAAGCTATAGTCACCGAAACAGTATGGTACTGGTATAAAGAGGCACTTAGACCAAAGGAGCAGAATAGAGAACCCAGAAATAAAGCCAAATACTTACAGTCAAGTGATCTTTGACAAAACAAACAAAAACACAAAGTGGGGAAAGGATACCCTATTCAAGAAATGGTGCTGAGATAATTGGCAAGCCTTATATAGAAGAATGAAGCTGGATCCTCATTTCTCACCTTATATGAAAACAAACTCAAAATGGATCAAAGACTTAAATCTAAGACTGAAACCGTAAAAATGTTAGAAGATAACATCGGAAAACCCCTTCTAGACGTTGGCTTAGGCAAAGACTTCATGACCAAGAACCCAAAAGCAAATGCAACAAAAATAAGGATAAATAGATGGGACTTAATTAAACTAAAAACCTTCTGCAGAAGCTTTTTAATCAGCAGAGTAAACAGACAACCCACAGAGTGGGAGAAAATATTCACAAACTATACATCTGACAAAGGACTAATATCTAGAATCTACAGGGAACTCAAACAAATCAGCAAGAAAAAAATTAAATCCCATCAAAAAGTAGGCTAAGAGCATGAACGTACAATTCTCAAAAGAGGATATACAAATGGCCAACAAACATGAAAAAATGCTCAATGTCACTAATTATCAGGGAAACGCAAATCAAAACCACAATGCCATACCACCTTACTCCTGCAAGAGTGGCCATAATCAAAAAATCAAAAAAATAAAAAAAAATAGAGAAGAAGAGGTTGGCATGGATGTCGTGTAAAGGGAACACTTTTAAACTGTTGGTGGGAATGTAAACAAGTACAACCACTATGGAAAACAGTGTAGAGATTCCTTAAAGAACTAAAAGTAGATCTACCATTTGATCCAGCAATCCCATTACTGGTTATCTACCCAGAGGAAAAGAAGTCATTATACCAAAAAGATACTTGCACATGCATGTTTATAGCAGCACAATTCACAATTGCAAAAATATGCAACCAGCCCAGATGCCCATTATGGATAAAGAAACTGTGGTACATGTATACCATAGGATACTACTAAGCCATAAAAAGGAATGAAATAACGGCATTTGCAGCAACCTGGATGAAACTGGACACCATTATTCTAAGTGTAACTCAGGAATGGAAAACCAAACATCGTATGTTCTCACTCATAAGTGGGATCTAAGCTATGAAGACGCAAAAGTATAAGAATGATACAATGGACTTTGGGGACAAGGGGGGAAGCGTGGGAGGGGGATGAGGGATAAAAGACTACACATTGGATACAGTGTACACTGCTCGGGTGATGGGTGCATCGAAATCTCAGAAATCACCACCAAAGAACTTATCCATGTAACCAAACACCACCTGTTTCCCAGAAACCTATTGAAATAAAAACTTTTTTAAAAAATCAAGAAAAAAAGAGAAAGAGAATAAACTTCAGATGTTCTCACCACAAAAAAGTGTTAAGTATTTGAGGTGAGGGATGTGCTAATTAGCTTCATTGAATTATTCCACATTGTATTAATTGTATCATTGTTTTGTACTCCGTAAATATAGACAATTACACATTGTCCATTTACAAAAACAACAAAGTTAAAACACACACACACACACAGAGCATGGCCTGCAGGTGCAGGAGGACCCCTCCATCCATCAGCATGGCCTGCAGGTGGAGGAGGACCCCTCCATCCATCAGGGTGGTCTGCAGGTGCGGGAGAACCTCTCCATCCATCAGCGTGGTCTGCAGGTGGGGGAGAACCCCTCCATCCATCAGCATGGTCTGCAGGTGCAGGAGAACCCCTCCATCCATCAGCGTGGTCTGCAGGTGCGGGAGAACCCCTCCATCCATCAGCGTGGTCTGCAGGTGCGGGAGAACGCCTCCATGCATCAGCGTGGTCTGCAGGTGCCGGAGAACCCCTCCATCCATCAGTGTGGTCTGCAGGTGCGGGAGGACCCCTCCATCCATCAGGGTGGTCTGCAGGTGCGGGAGAACCCCTCCATCCATCAGGGTGGTCTGCAGGTGCGGGAGGACCCCTCCATCCATCAGGGTGGTCTGCAGGTATGGGAGAACCCCTTCATCCATCAGCGTGGTCTGCAGGTGCGGGAGGACCCCTCCTTCCATTGGCGTGGCCTAAAGGTGCTAGAGCGTCCTTCCATGTATCACTGTGGCCTGTGGTTGGCATGAAGTTGCCTGGGGTCCCAGGGTTGGTCACCAGGCACCACGTGAAGAGCTTCACGAGCCACCAAGGGCTCCAAGCAGAGGTGGGAGCCTTTGTTCTCAGCCATCCTCAGCCGACCCAAGGCCAGTGCCGGCCTGTTGTCCCAGACACTAAAGAGGCTACAGGTGCTGCCAGGGGGAGCTGGCAACTGTGGGATTAGTGTCCCCCTTTTAGGTTTGACTCTTGTAAAGGTGTCTTTCTTTCCTTTTCTCCAGACCCCAAATGCATAGAGATTGTCTGAAAGTATCAGACACATTCTTGGCAGTTCCCTTTCTTTCCTACACTGGCTTTTGTATCTGGCTTTAGATCAGAACAATCATTTGAATAAGGCCCTTCTGTCCTCAGCCTCCAGAAATACCTTTTTCTAAGGATCACCCGAAGCTACCTCTACCTTCCACCACTTGGCTAAGAATCAAATTTAGAAAACATTTCTCAAAGCTAATGTTTGTGAAGATGCTTCCAAATTTGTTGGGTAAAATATTCTATGAATGTTGCTGAATCTCTGTTTAAAATATCAGTATTCCTCCGTGGCCAAATGTCACCATTAACCATCAACATAACCCTATTAAATTATTAGAATGAGAACCTAGAAAGTGGGAAATAAAGGACAAATCACCAGGGAGAAGTTTATTCCAGAAATAGATTTGTGAGCCCAGAAAAAGACGTCATTGTTCAAGCCAAGAGCAGGGGAAGTCTTCTAAAGTGAGATAAAGATGGGGGCAGAACTAGGCCTTGCGAAGCCTGGTGGTTTTATAATGGGATTGGTTGGTGGGGGGGAGTTATTCAAGAAAAGGAGTCCCTCCACGCACATTCGAAAGGAGAAGGGAGATGGAAGCAAATTACATACTTGAAAAATCGGGCAAAGCCACAGACATCACAGAATCCAAAATCAGTGTTTTCAGTCACCTGCCTGACACTGCCTCATTTCTCCAGCTCTTTTTCTACACTTTCTCACACCTTTGACTGCTTTTATGTGTGACAATTTTGATATATCATTTCTTTTTTTTTTTCAGATGGATTCTTGCTCTCTCGCCCAGGCTGGAGTGCAGTGGCACAATCTCGTCTCACTGCAACTTCCGCCTCCCAGGTTCAAGTGAGTCTCCTGCCTCAGCCTCCCGAGTAGCTGGAATTACAGGCAAAAGCCACCATGCCCAGCTAATTTTTGTATTTTTAGTGGAGACGGGATTTCACCATGTTGGCCAGGCTGGTCTCAAACTCCTGACCTCAAGTGATCCGCCCGCCTCAGCCTCCCAAAGTGCTGGGATTACAGGCGTGAGCCAATGCACCCTGCTGATATATCATTTTCTATTAAGAGAAGAGAAAGCTAATTCAGCTTTTCCTCTAATAAGTTTTACATAAATCTGTTTTTATCGTATAGGTATCTCAAACCCATTTCCTGCAGTTTCATATTTTGTTATTGAACTTCTACATTTTTACAGGTGAGAGCATTCCTGGAAGGATTCCCGCATCGGGACACTGGCAGTAACTTCTCCACGCACAGAGGCGAGGCAACCCCACCGGCATCCTGACTAAACCCAGGTTTGTCCCTGGCTCCGTGGGCTGTAGCTGGACACCAGCTGCGGCCGCCACACTGAACAGCCAGCACGATGCCGTCGGGGTGCGGATGGAAAGAGAAATCCCACCTGCTGGGGCCTGGAGCCTCAGAAAGTCGCCCTCAGAAAGGTAGGTGCTGACATCGAGGCCAGCTAGCCTTGTGGTAATGGCCTGGGCTGGGCCACTGATTTAGGCGGTGAGGCGGCTGGCAGAGGACAGGAGCAACGGGGACCTTGGAGTGTCCACCCCTGGGGACCTGTGGAGGCGAGAGTTTGAAAAGGTTTGATTTGCCCATGAAATGCACAGGGGCACAGGGGAAAGTTGAGGGGTCCCGAGCCCACCCTGACTTGGGGATCAATGTTGCGTCGGGGTGGGAAGGTTGAGCGTGGCAAAGGCACACCCATGGAACGGCCCAGGAAGAAGGGGAGCCACTCATCAGGGCACAGCACAGGCTCGAGTTCTGCCTGCAGTGAAGGAAAACAAGACCCACTTGGCTGGGGATGGGGAACAATAGAGGCAGCAGATGGGGGTGCCCAGTGAAGCCACAGCCCATCCACAGCACATAGTGGGTTGGAGAGGGAGGAAGGGAGTCGGCTTTGAGTATGGACGGAATGGTCAGGGAGAAGGAAGTGAGGCTGTTCCCCTTGCAGGTCCTGTCCTAGCCAGAGGCCACTCAGGGACAGCTCTGTGCAGTCTCTTCCACCCTGAGGCAGCTCTTGCCCACGATCTGCGATGACAGGCCCGGCACAGCCTCATGCCGCCAGGCAGAAACGGGGACCCTACGTGGCAGGGAAGGCATTGAGGCCTTGGTGGACAGTGGGCTCGGCCAGGTCACTCCTCAGAGGCCAGCCCCAACCTCCCCTTCTGTGCTGAAGGCAGCTTCACAGCAGGCAGGCTGGGGTCCACATCAGTATAGAAACCACTCTTGCAGCTGGGTAGAGGACCCACAGGCAGAAACAGGCGGCCTCTGATCAGATTTGGTTGTCCCCGGTGGCACTAAAGGGGGATGAGGGGTGGCAGAGAAACCAGATCATATTTTGGCATTTGGGGTCTTCTCCAGCCCCACAGCTCAGGCTGGCCCAACATTGCTCCTCACATAAATACCAGAGCAGGATACCTGCCTTTCCCCGTCTGAGCCTAAGATTTCATTCATCTGGTCTTGACAAATCCCATTGTCAGAGGGCCAACGCTAAGTCAGCTGGCAAAGCTCTGTGAGAACGCCCCCAAAGCCGGTGAAAGGGTCCTGTCCAGAGGCACAAAGCCCACCCTCACCCCAGCCCACCTCTAATAGCACCGCATGCCAGGGACGGCCCAGGACAATGCCACCTCTTCCCCCAAGTTCCCTGGACCCTAACTACAGGCCTCGTGCTATTAAGATTAAGACACTAATCCATGCTTCATCTCCGGTCCTTTGAGGCCATTTTTAAAGGTAATTCAGTGCTACCCATTTGAGGACTTGAGACAAAACCTTGGGCAGGAATGACCTTTGATTCCCATCCAGGCTCTGACTAAGGCCTCAACAGGTGAAGCCTTTAAAGTTAGCCTTTTTCATTCTGTCCTGACAATGCTGATTGATAACACAGAGCTAATCTCCTGCTTTTGTTCCCAGGGGGCAAAGGTTTGAGCTGCCCCTTTTGAATCTGGGTCGTTTAACTATCCAGCGAGTGAATCATAACGCGACCTGAGACCCTGGGATTAATTCCCTGCAGGATATGCTTTCCCGGGATCCCAGAGGCCAGGGCCTCTCCTTGGCTGAACACAAACTGGGGGAAACCACGCCTAGAATCTGTGTCTGGTGCTCCACCCGCGGGAAGATCAGCATCAGAGAGTCTCATTATCCACAGGGCTCACGCCAGCTGATCTGCACGTGCAAGGCCTGGGGAAACCCCGGTGTCCTCCCAAGCCTTTGACCAGTGAAAGCCTCTCTCATGTCTGGTTCAGCTGCAGCAACTGCCCAGCGGCCTCTAACAGCCCCCAGAAGTACAGGTGTGCAGCCTGCCCACCGAGGCCACTCCCCTGAGCCCTGTGTCAACGAGGCTGCTCCCCCAAGCCCTGCCCACCGAGGCCACTCCCCTGAGCCCTGCATCATGGGCTCAGTAACTTCCTGCTGCTTCCTACCTGGGCTTTCCGTCCAGTTGTTCCCTTAACCCATCCTAAGCTCAGCTTCCCTAGGCAGAGCCGGAGAGTAACACAGGCCAGCAGAGATAGAAAAAAGAGATAACACTCAGAATAGTTAACAACGTTTGCTCCAACAACACAGGCTCCACAACCCTCCCCAGGTCAGGGTGAACAGCTAAGCCTCAGCACTGGAGAAGTCTTCAAATTGTACAGTTGAACTTAGCTTTTCAAACTTTTTAGAGCATTTCAAGCTTGAACTTCAATTGTATTATTTCAAGATTCAACTAGGGCATAAAATACTGAAGTTTATTTCTGGAAACATAAGTAGTTACATTTACATTATGTGTAGCATGCTGTCTTTCCAAACGTCACCCAACTCCACACACCGAACTCAGAGCAGAGTCTCCTCGGAGAGTGGGGGCATTGGCTTGAGGAAAAGGATGGAAGCGTTTCAATGTATATGTGATAGATAGAAAAAAGAGATAACACTCAGAATAGTTAACAACCTTTGCTCCAACAACACAGGCTCCACAACCCTCCCCAGGCCAGGGTGAACAGCCTTGTGTATTTCAGAAAATAAAGAAGTGTGGAAAAATACTGTGTTTGGGATTTAGGTGGTGAGTACCTAGAGGTTCTATGTTGTTCTCTGTACTATTCTGTGAGTTCTAACCAAGAATAAATAAATAACAAATTACTGTTATGTATTGACAGCAGGGGCTGTCACTGCTGGGGTCTCAGTGCCAGGGGTGTCAGTGCTGCGGACGTCAATGTTGGGGTGTCAGTGCTGGGGACGTCAGTGTTGGGGTGTTAGTGCTGGGGGTCTCAGTGTTGGGGATGCCAGTGCCGGAGGTATGAGTGCTGGGGGACTCAGTGTTGGGGGTGTCAGTGCTGGGAGTGTCAGTGCAGGGCTGTCAGTGCTGGAGGTATGAGTGCTGGGGGTCTCAGTGTTGGGGGTCTCAGTGTTGGGGGTGTCAGTGCTGGAGGTATGAGTGCTGGGGGTCTCAGTGTTGGGGGTATCAGTGCTGGGAGTGTCAGTGCAGGGCTGTCAGTGCTGGAGGTATGAGTGCTGGGAGTCTCAGTGTTGGGGGTCTCAGTGTTGGGGGTGTCAGTGCTGGAGGTATGAGTGCTGGGGGTCTCAGTGTTGGGGGTGTCAGTGCTGGGGGTCTCAGTGTTGGGGCTGTCAGTGCTGGAAGTATGAATGCTGGGGGTGTCAGTGCTGGGGGTGTCAGTGCTGGGGGTCTCAGTGTTGGGGGTGTCAGTGCTGGAGGTATAAGTGCTGGGGGTCTCACTGTTGGGGCTGTCAGTGCTGGAGGTATGAGTGCTGGGGGTGTCAGTGCTGGGGGTCTCAGTGTTAGGGGTGTCAGTGCTGGGGGTGTCAGTGTTGGGGGTCTCAGTGCTGGGGGTCTCAGTGTTGGGGCTGTCAGTGCTGGAGGTATGAGTGCTGGCGGTCTCAGTGGTGGGGGTGTCAGTGCTGGGAGTGTCAGTGCCCGGCTGTTAGTGCTGGAGGTATGAGTGCTGGGGGTCTCAGTGGTGGGGGTGTCAGTGCTGGAGGTATGAGTGCTGGGGTTCTCAGTGTTGAGGGTGTCAGTGCTGGAGGTATGAGTGCTGGGGGTCTCAGTGTTGAGGGTGTCAGTGCTGGGAGTGTCAGTGCAGGGCTGTCAGTGCTGGAGGTATGAGTGCTGGGGGTCTCAGTGTTGGGGTGTTCGTGCTGGGAGTGTCAGTGCAGGGCTGTTAGTGCTGGGGACATTAGTGCTGGCAGTGTCAGTGTTGGGGTGTTAGTTGTATGGGTGTCATACCCATACCTGGGGGCATCAGTGCTGGGGGCATCAGTGGTGGGGGGATTAGTGCTGAGGGAGCAATTCTGGTGGGGGGTCAGTGCTGGAGTGTCAGTGATGGGGGCTCAGTACCTGGGTTGTCAGTACCTGGGAGGTCAGTGCTGGGGAAGTCAGTGCTTGGACGTCGGTGCTGGGGGGATCAGTGCTGAGGGAGCTGTGCTGGGGGGTCAGTGCTGGGGATGTCAGTGCTGGGGGGATGAGTGCTGAGGGAGCAGTGCTGGGGGGTCAGTGCTGGGGTGTCAGTGCTGGGGGGATCAGTGCTGAGGGAGCAGTGCTGGGGGGTCAGTGCTGGGGGTGTCAGTGCTGGGGTGTCAGTGTTGGGGGTGTCAGTGCCGGGGGTGCCAGTGCCGGGGGTGTCAGTGCCGAGGGTGTCAGTGCTGGGGGAGTCAGTGCTGGGGGTGTCAGTGCTGTGGAGGTCAGTGCAGGAGATGTACCTGCTGGGGAGGTCGGTCGTATGGGTGTCAGTGCTGTGGTATCAGGGGAGGGGTGCTCATTGCAGGCAGTGGTCAGTGCAAAAAGGGTCAGTGCAGGGGGTCAGTGCTAGAGGGGTCAGTGCTGGGAAGGTCAGTGCTGCAAATGTCATTGATGAGGGGGTCAGTGTAGAGGGCATCAGTGCCGCTGAAGTCACAGCTGCCAGTGTGAGTGCAGAAAATTTAAGTGTTGGGGGTCTATGCTAAGGGGAGTCAGACCTAGGGGTAAGTACATGGGTGTCTGTGGTGTGGAAAGCTCTGTGTCTGTGGAGAGCTCTGTATGTGGAGACCTCTGTGGCGTGGAAAGTTGTGTATGTGGAGAGCTCTGTGTCTGTGGAGAGCTCTGTGGTGTGGACAGCTCTGTGGCCTTGAGAGCTCTGTGTCTGTGGAGAGCTCTGTGGTATAAAGAGTTCTGTGGTGTGAAAAACCGTGTTGTGGAGAGCTCTGTGGTCTGGAAGCTCTGTGTCTGTGGAGAGCTCTGTGTCTGTGGAGAGCTCTGTGTCTGTGGAAAGCTCTTTGGTGTGTTGAGCTCTGTGGTGTCAAGAGCTCTGTGGTGTGGAGAGCTCTGTGTTTGTGGAGACCTCTGCTGTGTGGAGATCTCTGTGGTGTAAAGAGCTCTTTGTATGTGGACAGCTCTGTGGTTTAGAGATCTCTGTGGTGTGGCGAGCTCTGTGTTTGTGGAGAGCTCTCTGTATGTGGAGAGTTCTGTGATGTGGAGAGCTCTGTGTATGTAGAGAGCTCTGTGGTGTGGAGAGCTCTGTGAATGTGGAGAGCTCTGTGTCTGTGGTGAGCTCTGTGTCTGTGGTGAGCTCTGTGTATGTGGAGAGCTCTGTGTCTGTGGTGAGCTCTGTGTCTGTGGTGAGCTCTGTGTATGTGGAGAGCTCTGTGTCTGTGGTGAGCTCTGTGTCTGTGGTGAGCTCTGTGTATGTGGAGAGCTCTGTGTCTGTGGTGAGCTCTGTGTCTGTGGTGAGCTCTGTGTATGTGGAGAGCTCTGTGTCTGTGGTGAGCTCTGTGTCTGTGGTGAGCTCTGTGTATGTGGAGAGCTCTGTGTATGTGGAGAGCTCTGTGGTGTGGAGAGCGCTGTCTGTTGAGGGCTTTGTGTTGTGGAGAGTTCTGTGTATGTGAAGAACTCTGTGGTGTGAAGAGCTCTGTGGTGTGGAGAGCTAGACTCTGTATGTGGAGAGCTCTGTGATGTGGAGAGCTCTGTGGTGTGGAGATCCCTGGGCATGTGGAGAGCTCTGTGGTGGAGATCTCTGTGACTGTGGAGAGCTCTGTTGTGTGGAGAGCTCTGTGTCTGTGGTGAGTTCTGTGTATGTGGAGAGCTCTGTGGTGTGGAGAGCTCTGTGGTGTGGGGAGCTCTGTGTCTGTGGAGTGCTCTGTGTTGTGGAGAGCTTTGTTGGGGAGAGCTCTGTGGTTTGGAGAGCTCTGTGGTGTGAAGTGTTCTGCATATGTGAAGAGCTCTGTAATGTGGAGAGCTCCACGTATGTCAAGAGTTCTGTGTCTATGGAGAACTGTGGTTTGGAGATCTCTGTGGCATGAACAGCTCTGTAGAGCTCTGTTGTGTGGACATCTCTGTGGAGAGCTCTATCTGTGGAAAGCTCTGCATATGTGAAGAGCTCTGTGGTGTGGAGAGTTCTGTGTGTGCAGAGCCTTCTGTGTCTATGGAGAATTCTGTGGTCTGGAGATCTCTGTGGTGTGAACAGCTGTGTGTATGTGGAGTGCTCTGCTGTGCGGACATCTCTGTGGAGAGCTCTATGTCTGTGGAGAGCTCTGTGATATGGAAGTCTCTGTGGTGTGGAGAGCTCTGTGTCTCTGGAGAGCTCTGTGGAGTGTAGAGCGCTCTGTCTGTGGAGAATTCTTTAGTGTGTAGAGCTCTGTGGTGTGGAGAGCCCTGTGTCTATGGAGCACTCTGTGGCAAGTAGAGTTCTGTGGTGTGAAGAACTTTGTGTACACTGAGAGCTGTGTGGTGTGAAGAGCTCTGTTGTGTGGAGAGCGAGTTCTGTGTCTATGGAGAATTCTGTGGTGTGGAGAGCTCTGCGTATGTGAAGAGCTCTGTGTATGTGAAGAGCTCTGTGGTATGAAGAGCTCTGTGTCTGTGGAGATTGCTGTGGTGTGGAGAGTTCTGTGTCAGTAAAGAGCTCTGTGGTGTGGAGACCTCTGTGTATGTGGAGAGCTCTGTGGTGTGAAGAGATCTGTGGAGTGGACACCCCTGTGTCTGTGGAGAGCCCTATGGTGAGGAGAGCGCTGTGGTGTGAAGAGCTCTGTGGTGTGGAGAGTTCTGTGGTGTGGAAAGCTCTGTGTATTTGGAGAATTCTGTGGTCTGGAGAGCTCTGTATTGTAGCGAGCTCTGTGTCTGTGGAGAGCTAAGTGGTGTACAGAGCGCTGTGATGTGGACAGCTCTGGGTATGTGGGGAGTTCCGTGATGTGGGGAGTTCTGTGGTCTGGAGAGCTCGGTGTATGTTGAGAGGTCTGTGCTGTGAAGAGCTCTGAGGCATGAAGAACTTCCTACGTGGAGAGCTCTGTGGTGTGAAGAACTCTGTGATGTGATGTGGGGAGCTCTCTTAATGTGGGGAACTCTGTGGTGTGAAGAGCTCTGTGGTGTGAAGAGCTCCATGTATGTGAAGAGGTTTGTGTCTGTAGAGAGACGTGTGTCTGTAGAGAGAGCTGTGTGTCTGCGGAGAGCTCTGTGGTGTGAAGAACTGTGTGTCTTTGGAGAGCTTTGTGGTGTGGAGAACTGTGTGGTGTGGAGATCTGTGTCTGTAAATAGATCTGTGTCAGTGAAGACCTCTGTGTTGAGGAGATCTCAGTGTCTGTGGAGAGCCCTGTGGTGTGGAGAGCCCTGTGTCTGTGGAGAGCTCTGTGTCTGTGGAGAGCTCTGTGGTATGAGGAACTCTGTGGTGTGAAGAGCTCTGTGGTGTGGAGAGGTCTATGGTGTGGAGACCTCTGTGTCTGTGGAGAGTCTCGTGTCTGTGGAAAGTTCTGTGTCTGTGAAGAGCTCAGTGATGTGGAGACTCTATGTCTGTGAAGAGTTCTTTCTGTGGAGAGCTCAGTGGTATGGAGAGCCCTGTGTCTGTGGAGAGCTGTATGTCTGTGAAGAGCTCTGCGGTGTGGAGAGTTCTGTAGTGTGGATAACTATGTGGTGTGGGGATCTCTGTGTCTGTGGAGAGCTCTGTGGTGTGGTGATCTCTGTGTCTGTGGAGTGTTCCACGGTGTGAAGAGTTCTGTGTTGTAGAGAGCTCTATGGTGTGAAGAGCTCTGTGGTGTGAAGAACTCTCTATCTGGAGAGCTCTGTGGTGTGAAGAGCTCTGTATGTGAAGAATTCTGTGTATGTGGAGGGCTCTCTGTATGTGGAGAACTATGTGGTGTGGAGAGCTCTGTGGTGTGTTGAGCTCTTTGTCTGCAGAGAGCTCTGTGGTGTCAAGAGCTCTGTGTATGTGGTGAGGTTTGTGTCTATGGAGAGCTCCATGTATGTGGAGAGCTCTGTGTCTGTGAAGAGTTCTGTGGTGTGGACAGCTCTGTGGTGTGGAGATCTGTGTCTGTAAATAGATCTGTGTTAGTGGAGAGCTCTGTATTGAGGAGATCTCAGTGTCTGTGGAGAGCCCTGTGGTGTGGAGAGCTCTGCAGTGTGAAGAGCTCCATGGTTTGAAGAGCTCTGTGGTGTGGACAGTCCTGTGTCTGTGGAGAGCTCTGCGTCTGTGGAGAGCTCTGTAGTGTGGATAACTATGTGGTGTGGGGATCTCTGTGTCTGTGGAGAATTCTAAGTCTGTGGAAAGTTCTGTGTCTATGGAGAGGTGTGTGGTCTGAAGAGCTCTGTGGTGGGGAGAGCTCTGCGTCTATGAAGAGCTCTGTGTCTGTGGAGAGTCCTGTGTCTGTGGGGAGTTTTGTATCTGTGGAGAGTTCTATGTCTGTGGAGAACCCAGTGGTGTGGAGAGCCCTGTGTCTGTGAACTCTGCGCTGTGGGGATCTCTGTTTCTGTGGAGAGTTCTGTGGTGTGGCAAGCTCTGTGTCTGTGGAGATCTCTGTTGTATGGAGAGTTGTGTGTCTGGAGAGCTCTGTGTTGGTGGAGAGGTCTGTGAATGTGGCAAGCTCTGTAGTGCAGAGAGCTATGTGGTGTGGGTAGCTCTGTGACTGAGGAGAGTTCTGTGGTGTGGAGATTTCTGTGACTGTTGAGAGTTAAGTGGTGTGGAGAGCTCTGTGTCTGTAAAGAGCTACGTTGTGTGGAGAACTCTGTCTGTGGAGAGCTCTCTGGTGTGGAGAGTTCTGTGTCTTTGGAGAGCTCTGTAGCGTGGAGAGCTCTGTGTCTGTGGAGAATTCTGTGGTCTGGTGAGCTCTGTAGTGTAGAGTGCTCCGTGGTGTGGAGAGTCTTGTGTGGAGATCTGTGTCTATAAATATGTCTGTGTCAGTAGAGAGCTCTGTGTTGAGGAGAGCTCAGTGTCTGTGGAGAGATCTGTGGTGTGGAGAGCTCTGTGTATGTGGAGAGCTCTTTGGTTTGGAAAGCTCTGTGGTGAGGAGATGTCTGTGTCTGTAGAGAGCTCTGCGGTTTGTGGAGCTCTGTGGCTTGTCAAGCTCTGTTGTGTGTAGCTCTGTTGTGTGTAGTGGTCCGTGTCCGCTCAGAGCTCTATGTCTGTGGAGACGTTTATGGAGGCACTGACCCTTTCACAGCACCAGTGTTTACTCCTGAATATGTGGGTATTGGGTCCAGCTCGTGGCCTTCTCTAGCTGTCTTGTGTTCTTCCTTATCTTGTGGCTTAGCAGCCCACAAATGTACTTCCTGGAGAGGAGAATGCAGCCTCCACCAGACCTCTCTAGCTTTCAAATCAAGTGTGGCCTAAAGCTGCCTCCTTGTGTATTTTAATTTCGACCTAAAGCTTTCTCTGTACATCACGAACAGTAACCTAAATGGAATTGTAAACAGACCGTAGCCTACTCTTGTGCCAATCGCTGAGTTTTGGCCAATCTAAGGTGGCCAGCTCTTCAACCATGTTCAACTACTGCAAACCCCAAGCTTAACAAATCTGGCTGTTTCCGTACCTCATTTCCATTTTCTGTACATCTCTTTCCTTTTTCGGTCTTAAATTTTCTTCCACCACATGGCTGTGCTGGAGTCTCTGAGTCCACTCTGGGTCGGGAGGCTGCCTGATTTGTGAATCACTCTTTGCTCAGTTAAACTCCTTTACATTGGCTAATTGGTTTTACTTTTTTTTTTTTTTTTTTTTCTTTTTGACAGAGTTTTGCTCTTGTTGCCCAGGCCGGAGTGCAATTGCTATGGCGTGATCTTGGCTCACCGCAACCTCCGCCTCCTGGGTTCAAGCAATTCTCCTGCCTCCGAGTAGCTGGGATTACAGGCATGTGCCACCACGCCCAGCTAATTTTTTGTATTTTTAGTAGAGACGGGATTTCTCCATGTTGGTCAGGCTAGTCTCAAACTCCTGACTTCAGGTGATCCACCCACCTCGGCCTCCCAAAGTGCTGGGATTACAGGCGTGAGCCACTGCGCCTGGCCCGGTTTTACTTTTAACAAGCGTGAGAGCATCTGTTGCTGAGCTATGTGGGCAACATGCATGTGAGGTGCGGCCCTGCCCTCCAGGACACGCAGCTTCATGAGTAGAGAAGAAATCTTATCCAAGGGCGAGTAGCAAGAACACAGCAAACCAACGCACACAGAGGGCGATCCAGCAGTCAGACTGGGCAGATGGAAACAGCTGAGGGTCTTCAGTGTCTCGCGATGGGAGAGGCGGCCTAGTCTGAGAAACTGAGGCAGGAGGGACTGCCTGGCTTCTGGAGGGAGAGGAGGAGCCTGTCCCAGGCCCAGCCATGTTGGTGACAGCAAACTACCGAACTACTGGAGGGAGAGGCCCGGGCTGTCAGGGAGCACTGCCGGCTGCTGAGAGGACAGGGAGCCCCGGGCCCCCCCTGCAGAGGTTCCTGCTCAGGTCCTCCGGAGCCTGGGTGGAGCAGAGTAGGGTCGTGACCTGTGGGGACCCTGCAGTGCCCAGATTTAGAATTCTGCCAACCTCCAAGCTCACCATCAGCCTCCTGCAGCCCCACTTGTTTCTGGGGCAGCTACTGGACCCCGACCCCATCGTCCCCAGGCAGGGGGTCGCAGCCGCAGGTCTGTGGGGGCTGGTGTCTGGCCTCCCTCCTTCTGGCTGGCTGAGCAAAATATCTGCAGGGCGCAGAGCAGGTCACAGGGATGCTAATTAGAAAGGATAAAGCTTTTGTGGCCTAAGGCGGTTGTGGGGTTCGCTTCCAGTCTTTGAGAACACAGGAGACAATCTGTTTTGAAATCAACATAGAGGCTCCCCAAATCAATACAGTTTCCCCTCCTTTGGGGCTACGACACTGGCTTTTCCACGTGAAGACAGCAAAGCGAGAGGGTCGGTAGCCTGGTCTGCTCTCCGCCCGCGTGCAGACATGGCAGCAAAGAGGCACCCAGAGAAGCCCCCGGGGCCTGGGGCTCTTTGTAAAAAGACAAGGCCCTGAGCAACAAACTGGCTCCTGCCGCTGAGGACGACAACCGTGCACGGCTGCCCGGCGGGTCCGCACTGCCTGCCGCTCCAGTGTCCTGCCCGCTCCGCAGCAACCCCGAGCTCTGCCTCCTGTCCACCCGTGTGTCTGTGCACACAGCATGTTGCTGTCAGGGAACGGCCTCCTGCTTCTCGAGTGCCATGGGACTGGCTTTTGTTTGTGTTTTTCTTACCTAGGACTGGGACAAAAGATGGCCTGGAGCCAGGAGGTGCCGCCCACCAGTAGGGCTAGGCTGGGAGAGCTACTTTTTCCCCACCAGAGCCGCCTCTGCTTTCAGTCCCAGGCTGCACCCCGCTGGCCTTTCTGGGCCACACCAGGACCATTCTCTTGGCAAAATCTGAGGGAAGTGAGGAAACCAAGGGCTCTTATGAAATGGACAGAGTGCGGGGTGGGCACCAGCTGGGCTGCGTCCCTGGCCAGAGCTGTCGGCCAAGTTGGAGGACAGAACAGGGTGCTGGGAGGGAAACATGGATTCACTGCAGTGCTCAGGCCACCAAGCACACCACCTCCCAGACACGAGGGAAACCCCAGCATCGGCAGAGGAGTGAGATTTTGCCACAGTCTGGCCCTGGCAGTTGAGGAGCAGCTGGTGGGAGGCGGGAGATGTGCAGGCTGAGCACAGGCTCATGTGTGCGATGACTCAGGTCCCTCACTGGAGACACCAGCTGAGAGGAGAGACTGCAGGGCCTGGCACACACAGGGCCACTCTTCCTGCTGCCGGCCAGAAGGAGCTGTGTACACACAAGGCAGAGAGAGAGAGAGAAACATTAACCAAATTGCAAGTTTCGGATCATTTGTCTTCTTGTTGCTTCAGAAAAAGTTTATCTTTCAAGCAGGCCCACCTGTTCTTGTAAAACCTTATCTGGGCTATTTGGGAGCGAGTCATCAGTGCTTGTTCAAACATTCCACTGAAGAGGGGAACAGAAAGGAGGGGAGGTGCGAAGGTCATTTTCAAATTTGGAAATCTTTTTTCCCTTGCTTGAAGAAAGAGAGCTCTGCACTGAATGGGTTTGTCCCTCACATTTCCCTCTGATCTTTCAGGGAGCCCAGGTCGGTCCGGGGTGCAGCTGCATCCATTTGTGGGTACATACCAGCCAGAAAAGTTGTGTTAATTTGCAGCGAATATTTTCAAACTCCTTTCTTAAAGATGAAAGTGTTGCAACCTTGTCTTGGCTCCTGCCAGGCTGTGTGGCAAGCGTGTGTGTGAGTGCAATGTCCTGATTCCCGGGGATGCTGAATGAAAGCCCAACTCTGCATGATCCCCTGGCCCACGCCTCCGAGCCTTTCCTGCTGGGAGGTGCACCTGATGTGCACAGGCCCTTGGATCAGGCATGCGTGTTCTGTCTTAAGATTATGCTAAAGGAATTCAGGCCAAAGGCAATGACTTAGATTTTTGGCTGACTTAGATTTTTGGCTGAAATTTCACATCACAGTGCTGTAATTGTAATTAATTATGTTGCTGTGTTTCTTTACAAGGTTGTAAAGCACAAAAGCTGAGGTCGCAGGATGGTCTTGAATGATTGACTAAAATTGTCTGCTTCTCTAATGCTAGGCAGAATATATAAAAAGATAAATTCTATTAAAACCCCTCCTTCCAGAGAGCAGAAAATAAAGGGACTCAAAGTCCATCACTCTCGTGTGCTGCCTAGGGCAGCACTGGGGCCACAGACACTCTTGCTGATGGCTGTTTTGTGTGTGCTGCAGGCTTCCTAATAGAAAGGAGGCTTTGTAAGAGCACAGAAACATGCCCATGCTTCTTGGATGTGCCCTGGAACAGAGCTGAGCAAACAACGTGAAAGCAATATGTGGTATTGATTACTCAGCAAATATAAACAATCCCATACTCTTTACAGTAATCCTTTATTCAGCGTTTTTCAACCTTTAAAAAAGTTGAAGTCATTCTACTTTGATGCCTCTCTCCTTTGCTCAACTGCCCTCTGCCTAGAGCAGGCCACGTCCCTACTGGGGCAGGGAGCTCACTGGCCTCCAAGGTCCTGTTTATCCGCAGCTTCAGTGGAAGGAGGTCCACTCTCCTGCTGTTGCCACCTCCTGGTTGAGCAGCACCTTGTCCAGAACCGCCTCGTCTTCATTCTCATTGTCTTTATTTCTGGTTTTCTGCTGTGCCGCATTTATCCCATGCATATATGACAGCCTTTAAGAAACATCAGAGAGTAACAGAGACGGAGGTGCCGAGAATCAGCAAATGGAGAAGCCCTGGGCTCTGTTCCCCAGTGCTGTTGTGTTAAAGGATTTTGTTATTGTCAGTGGTGGTTTGCCCTTTTTGAAAAATGGAAGCATCAAAGTTTTAAACTTATGCTATCATTAAAATAACAACAACATTCATTGTCTGAAACAAAAATTAACTGTGAAGTGAGAATTTGAGAAGTCTCAGCCAGAACACAGTGCTGACCTTCATCTGCGTTTTGTAGCCACCACGTCCAATCCATCACCTGCTGGTTGTAGCGGCAGAGAGAAGGATGCAACCCCTGTCCTGCTGTTGTTTTATGGCTGATGATTCATGAAGACAGAAAAAATGCCCTCATTTTGGCAGCTTTCATTTGATCATTCTTTCCCACCTTCCCCAGCCTCTGGGAGATGTGTTTATTGCCAGCTTCACTGCAGAGGAGACAAATAAGTAACCCAGATGTTGGTGTTTGTGGTGCCTTTGCAGACACCTCCATGACACGTCATATCATACACTGCATATTGGATGTAACGTGAGCAATTTATGAGTCCAGACGCATCGACTGCTCTCCTTGTGCCCCTGCTGACATTCCCAAGAGATCAATATCCTGTAAAAGCCTGAAGATTGCTTCCTTTAAATGGTAAGTGCCTGCTCCATGCCTTGGAGATAAGACATTTCTACTCTTGGTCCTTAGTCACTATAAAATCACAATGTGATTCTGTAGAATTAAAAGGTGATAAATAAGCTTAGGAAATGATGTTGTTTCGGGGAAGAACGTGGACTCACTGCTGTGTCTCCTCAGTCCTTCCTTCTGGCACTCCTCTTTCCATGGAGACAGTGCTTCAGCAGGACCACCTGAACAGGCCAGTATCTGTGGGCTCGGATTTCTTACTTCTCATTATTTTATTTCAGAGAGAGTTTAAAGTGTGCATCATGTCCATTTAAATTTACTGACAATGTTTATCTAATCTATCTGCCTACGAACCTACTCCTCCATCCACACACACATACTTTGTTCAAGAAAGAATTTAAGGTGCTTTCTTCACTAGAAAAGGTATCTATTATTTTTCAAGCTCAGAGAAAAATGTTAGCTTTTAAATAATGACACAACTGTACTAATTCTAAGTTTTTTCTTCTATAACATTTTGTTAAACGAATTCAAGATGCTGTGGAACTCCAAATGCTTAGGAAAACATGGCATCCTTATGAAAAATTGGGTTTTGAATGACACATGCTGTAAACAACAACCAAACACATTTGTATGTGAAAATCAAATTCAAAAACTTTAGAAAATATTTGCAAAAGCTGATTATGGGTAATTCCTCTGAACAGATCCAAGATTTAAAAAAAATAAGATAATCTGTATAAAAGCTGCATTTCGTATCTGATGAAATTTAGCGTTAAAAAACTTAATAAAATAGGATTTGATAAGTATTTTCATAACATGGTAAGATACACCTATCTCAAACCAAAAGACAATATCAAGTTAATTTCTTCAACAAATAATAAGAAAATTAGTAAGATGTAGGGATAAAATTGATATACAGAAACCAATAGCTTTAGAAGATATAACAAAAGAAATTACTCCCATTTAATTAGCAAGAAAAAGTTCCCAGGAATAAACTTAACAAGAAAGTTAACATCTATATGAGATACATTTTTATCCACCCTCGAAAGTTTATAAAAGAAAACTTGGACAAATAGAAAGACTTATGATGTTCTCGACTAGGAAGACTCAACATCATAAAATGCCAACTTTCCCTGACTTATTATGTAAATGAATGCACCTAAATAAAAATAGACTGAGGTTTTTCTGGATCTTTGTATTTTATTTATTTGTTAATTTATTTTACTGTGAGGTGAGAACTAGACAATCTGATTCTAACATTCAAATAGAAAAAGAAGCAAACAAAAATAGGAAAATCCAGAAAAAAAAAGAGTAAAGAGAAAATTAGCCTTACCAGTTCTTAGATCATATAATAGTTTTAATAACTAAAACATTGTTGTACTGGGTCATGAATAAACACACAGAACAACAGAAAAGCACAGGAAATACAGATAGACACAAAAATAGGAGGGAAATTAGTAAGTCATAAAAGTGACATCTAAAGTTGTTAGTGAAAAAAACTATGTGATAAATGGCATTAGGACAACTGAGTAGCATTCAGCAAAATAAATAATAAAAGATGAAAGTTGCACCCATGTCCCACCATGTATATAAAAATAAATTTCAAATAGATAAAATATTTAAATGTTATCAGTAAAGCCATAAAAATACTAACAGAAATCATGGACAAATTCCATGATTTTTTAAATTAAAACTGAAAAATCCAAATGCAGTAAAATAATTTATAAGTTAAACTACCTCAAAATAGGAATTTCTGCATGAAAAACTACCATCAGCAAATTAAGAAATCAAGACAGACACTGAGGAAAAGAATGTATTTTCACCTCTTATCACAACTTACATCCTTAATATATTAAAAGCTCCAAAAAATCAATAAGAAAAAGATTAAAAAAACTCAATAGATCAATAGGCAAAAAACTTTGATGGAATGGTCCAGTGAAAAGAAACTAAATAGATGCTCAGCCTTACTAATAATATAATAGGAAACCTATTCAATCAGCAAATGTCAGAAGACATTCCTGATGTGCAGGTAGGGAGCCGTGGAGAAGTAGTGGCCTTCATGCCTGGGAAGAGCGAATCACATGACCGCATGCAGGATAATTTGACAACACCTACAGAATTACAAAGATGTGTGTCCTCTGACCCAGCAATGTCACTCCTAGGGACTGATTCCAAAGATGGCTGCAAAATGGTATATTAGCAAGATAACAGCATTATCTGTTATAACAAAAGATTTGAAAGAATCTGTGTCTATCAACACCAACCACCCATACAGTGTGGTACTGAAATACTCCACAGCTGTAAGAAAATGGAATGCTACATGTACTCATAGGGGGGATTATCCAATTTATAAGAGCAAGGTGTGGTAAAGTGCATGTAATCTGCCACCATTTGTGTAAAACACAGAGAAGATGAAGGTGAGCACTCATATTCCTGTGTGTTTGCATCTGCATCAGGAAGCTCTAAGGACGCACAAAAACCTAATCATAACTCATGCCCTTAGTGCCACATATAAAGAGTTCCTAGAAATCAATAAGAAAGACTTTGTTACACACAGGAGTGTAATGAAACCAGGCAGAGGAGGATGTGGATGGAGAACAGACTATACTGAATGCTTTTCATGTTTTTCATTTATGAGCCATGTGAGTTTTCTCCCATACAATAATGAAATTATCATTTTTAAAGCATGATTTCTTCAAGATATATCATAGGCTGTTTTGTTCAGTTTATGATGCATCTTTTTTATTTCTATACATGTATGGGGTACGGGTGTAATTCTGTTACATGGATATGTTGCACAGTGCTAAAGTCTGAGCTGTTAGTGTTCACCCAAAAGATGAGTATTGTACTCATTAAGTAATTTCCCATTGTCCACTCACCTCTCATGCTCACACACCATGTTTTTATTTAAACAACACTTTCTTTTATGTTTGGGGCCTCAAAGAATAAATACTACTATTTTCCAACTAGACAGACTCCCACTGGCTTCATAGACCAGTTATTTTGACACTACAGACAATAATTTAAAAGCAAATATTATGTGGTTTGTATTTATTAATGGGTTAATTTAACAAGAACAGCCTTTTCAAACACTGCAAAGCATGTTTTCTACAATAAGATTTTCTGTTTTTTCTTTTGCCTTTGTTTCCAGCTTACTAATTACAGATTCTGCAAAACTATTTCATAAGCCAGTTCTGTGGAACCCCTTTCTGGCCATTTCCTGAAGCAACTTTCTTTCCTAATCATCCCCATAACATGAAGGCCAGGTTCTGCAAGTAAAGGGTGGTGAGGCAATTCTGGAATCATCTAAGTGGCAAGCCCAGGGGGGTGGGTTTCAGAGAACACATAGAGGAAAGTGGAGGCTCGGGAGGTGTGGAAATACTGACCTGATGGAATTAACCATCTTCCCGGGAGCAAGACTGAGCCCATGGAGGGTGCTGTGGAGCTTGCTGCAGGTTCTGCTGGATAGGAAATTGTGTCTCATCCACCTGCTGTCTGCTTCTGTCCTGTCTTAGCCCAGCAGAGCTGTTTTAACACAGACATTTGCAGCCTGCCCAGTACTCTCCTGGAACCAATAAGTCGCCAGTTAGGAAAAAGATCAGCACTGACCAAACACAGAGATGTTGGAAACCTGCATTAATCCCCAGTAGAGGCAGAGGCTCTGAATGCTGAAGCCACAGCTACGACTTGGCCACACTCTGCACATGGCCCCAGACATTCAGATTTCTGCACCCTCAGGGTGGCTTGCAGGCTCCAGAGCCGGGGTTCGGGCCCTGCTGACCACAGCCAGCTGTCCCCTGCAGCCTCAGACCAGGGCCAAATTCCTGGTGTGCTTCCCTCCTGCACCCACTCAACAGCTCTGTGGCCTTTGCAAGCACCTGCCTGACAGGGCTATGGCAATGTGTGGAGTCAGACAATGGTGCCAAGTCGGGAGCGGACTTACGGTGAGACAGTGTAGATAAAGCCTGGGGCCCAGCTCCCCAGCAGCACCTGCTCCTGCACTGTGGCCACCGTGGCAACGTAGCTGCTTCTATTTCCTTGAGCTCCATTGCCATCTTTTCCCAGGCGGGGCCCCTTCACCCCCTGCACCTGCCACCATCCGCCCTTGCCCCTTACTCCTGAGCCTCCTTTCAGTCCTGCTCTTGGAAGGGAAAGAACCCCTGGCTTGGGGAGCCTGCCTGGTCCTGGGGTGGCCGCCTGCCAAGGCCCTGGCATCTCCCATCCTGAGGCTCCTGCCCTGCCTCTGAGCTCTCCCTCTCACTCCCGTCCCCTTGGCCTCTCCCGGCTGGGGCCTTGCTGTCTGTCACCCCTGAACGGAGCTGATGCTGACACCCCAGAACAGCAGGGACCTGGAACTGTTCCAGTCACCTGCTTCAAGCAGCACCTTGAGGACAGACCTTCACCTGCACTTGGAGCATTTAGTTGAACTGCAGTTTTGATAATAATGTAACTGTGTGCAAACACTAGAGCAAGTGACTGTGGTGTGGAAGGGCGAATACTCGGGAAGTGTGGGATTTTTGTCTGAGAAGTTTATTCAGCAAGCAGCTAATTCATGGTAACATAAAGAAAGTTGATATGAAAACTGCCCTTCCCCTATATCCCTAAGGAGACCACCAAGAAGACCAGGACATGCTATTACGTATGTTCTAGAAATGATGAAGGGGAGCACTGGGGAGCTAAGATACATGGGTTTAATCTCAGATTCACTTCCGATGAACCGCCCTCCTTCGTGCATCCACTCTGAAAGGCGTGGCCTCAGTACGAATTTGGGAAGCTTTTGCAGTGGCAGAAGTCATGAAATTAGGGGGCAGCACCTTAGGGCCATCAAAAGGGAGGGTTGTCTTGGGAATGAAGGTTTGGCGTTAACAGATCTGGCTTGTTGGGTCTAAAGAACAACAAAGTATTCCTCCCTGGCTCTCGGAACTCAAGGTCCTGAGCTCTTCAATACTGGGCAAGTTCACGTTTGCACATTTCGCACAAGCAGGAGGCAGGGTGAGTTGTTGGGATTCATGCCAGGCAGAGCCGAGCACATCAGGGGCCCTGGGTAAAAGGGGGTGGGGACAGCGCAGGCACCAAAGGTCTTGGCATGGGGTTGCCAGCCACCAGCAGACACCAGATGGGAAGGGAAACCGCAGGCCCACCGTTTGCCTCTGCCTGCGGGGTGCTGCCCCCACAGTGCCTCTCAGGTGTCTGTAGTCTCACACTTGTTTCTCACCCTCAATGTGGATCACAGCTGCCGCATGTCTCTGTAAGCACCACAAGGCCGGTGGCATCCCCTTGGGCTCACAGGATGCCTGAACCACCAGCCTCATCCTGAACTCCCCTCCATGTACGTGAGCCCCATTAGCTTTTCTCCCATTTGTAGGCAATGGAAGGCCAAACTCTCTTAGAGAAAGAACAAGAAACTAGGGTGAGCTGCCTCACATGTTGAGATGTGGAAAACTGAGATTTATTTGCAGAGAAAAGAACTGGGCTCCACTGTCCTGAGGGTGCCTCTGGTCTCTCGCAGTTGGATCCCCTCACATTTCCCAAGCCCAGGTCCAGATCTCCTCCTCCCCACCCTATCTCTTCACTTCTCATAAACCAGCTCCCCTAGCTTTGCCCAGATCACCCAGCAACACCATGGCAGGTAAATCCTTCCTCTTTACAGTAGACTCTGAAATTCGCCCTATGTTTCCCACTCCCCTCTTCGTCGATGAAAAGGAACAGCTTGGGGTTTCCAGCACCTGGTGCCTCCTGTCTGCGGCCCCTCCAGGACATTGGCTGTAAAGCTTTCTCCTCCTCCAGACGCCTTCGTGCACCCACCTGCACCGACCGTCCCGACCTCAGCCCACCTTTTCTCCATCCTGAGCCACAGTACATGTCCCCCAGGAATCTGTGGCTCTGACCACCTCTGACAATTCACTCCCCGTCAGCCCCTTGGGAACCCCAAGAGAGTTCAGCCTGAGCCCCCGGCCTTCCGGGCCTCCCCAGCTGTGTTTCCGGTCATTCCTTTCCTCGAGTCCCTCCACCCTGGATGCCCAGGGTGCCACCCTAGCCTCCCCTACACGCTGGCTTGGTTCTTCTCAACCATCGCCATTGGCTTGGTTTCTGTTGTGTTTGGTTTTTAGGGGTCAGGCTGCCGAGTGCTGTTCTTCTCCTGGGCTCTGTCCTCCTCTCTCTCCTTGGGTTGCAGCATCCAGGTCTGATCCAATAACTCCACAGCACACAATGCGGCCCAGGCCATGCACGGAGGAAGACAGCAGAGCGGCCATGAGGCTCCCAAAGGGAGCCAGGGCCCAGGCCCAGCACACCCTGCCCACAATCCCCTGCATCCACTGCCTCTCCTGCACCCGGCACTGGGCAGCGTGGGCTGTGTCAGCGGTGTCCCTCCTCCCTTCTCAATCTGTTGTGAGCTCCATTAGGCCAGGGACCGGTCCTTAGAAGCTGTGGGACCCTTCAGCCTCCCTAGCAGAATGTCTTGCACACAGTGGTGGCTCCATAAAATATTTATTTTCTATTTTGTCCATTTATTTTATAAATCTCATGCAGGCCAGATAGATTGGAATTATCAATTACTCTAGAAAATAAAAGGATAAAAGCAAGATCTGGAAATACAGACCGAGCAGCACTGGAATGCACCAACTAAGGCAGAGAGGCCCCCTGAGGCTCCGCGACTGCTGGACCATTTAAGGCAACATCATATCTCAAGTGGGGAGGGAGAGAATCCGCCGGTCTCAGCGGGGGTGGGTTTTTTAAAGTGGATTTAGTCATGGTCTGGACTTGCCCAATTTTCTGTGCTATGCTGTGGGAAGGGACAAGGTCCTAAACTACCCTCACAGGACTTAAATAAAACAAAGAACACATACAGGTGGGTGGGAAGGCAGTCAGATGACTCAATTCTGTGCCCACCACCCATGGCCCCTGATGGGTCATGCCTTCTGCTTAGACAACAGCCTCCTAGACCCCACAGATGGGGGCAATGGCATAAACTCAGACCTGCAGCCGAGGCCTGACTCACCACAATGGCCCTGCCCTGCACTGCCAGTGACAGACCTGTCACTTTCTCACTGATCCTTCATTTTCCTATGAAATGGGGCTAATATTGCCTCTTTCTAAGGTTGCTATTAGGATTAATTTTTGAGATAATAGACACTGAGATAACAAACCTGCCAAGTGTTACATCGATGTGATTATCCTGAGATTGAGAGGAAATGTCAGTGAGGCACTAGGTGGTGGCATGGCCGTGAGTGGGAGAAAGAGGGTGGATGTTCCAGATGTCCCTGGATCTCTACCAAAGAGAAGATGCAGCGAAAGGACAGCCGTGTTCCTGGTGTCTCCTTTTCCCCTCAGGACAATGAATTACGGGTTTTCTGTGCCTTAGTTTTCTTCCTTTCAAATGCAGTTAATAATACTGTCTCTCAGGGGGTATTCACAGACGTGAACAATTAATGATCGCAAAGTGCTTTGAAAATAAATGAGCTTACTCATAATGGTGGTGTTTGATATTTATAATAATAAGCCTGTGCTGCTGGCTTCGCGAACTATATTCATTGGTACAGAGCTTAGTTTTATGACTGGCTTTTTCAATATTTTAACATAAAATCCTCTTATTTTAAAGTAATCAAATGACCTTCCTGCATTCCTCCAGAGTCTTATTCGGAAAAACTTAAGATTTGATCATAGATCTATTTTAAGAAGTGCCAAGTTAACTGACATCGATGCCATCGTATCTGGAGTCCCTAGGAAATCCAGGGGGGGACAATGAACCGTAGGAAGACTCGGACTCGGGTCTGCCTGTAGCACTCGGAGCCTGCAAGGCAACACAGTTATTGAGTTCTATTAAAATTACTTGGTGTGGCTATAAACCAAACCACACCCCTGTAGCCAATGCGAAGAGCTTCCCGTAAAAGCCGTGCGGTGGGAAGGCCTCTCGCTGTCTCCTCTGCGCGGCAGGCAGACATGGACGACACCGAGGCGTGAATTCAGCCTGCACCTCCTAAAGATGAGCTGTTGAGGGCGATGGCCACAGCAAGTCCGCACCAAGTGCTCTTTAAACATGAGTGTTTCTTTAAACAAAGAACCTTCCCGGCATTGAGGTCTGATTAATGATGCCCCGGCACCTCCTCCCTCACTCAGGGATCACTTCCCTGCGGCGCGTTCCCAGACGCAGGCTTCCCTCACGGAGGCGGGAAGATTTCAGGCGCTGTCTGTTCTTGTCTTTTGTCAGCACGGACAAGGATGGAGACCCCACTGGTCAGGCGAGCCCCGCGGTCCCTGTTCCTCACTTCACCACCTGGGGAAGCCTGATCCCCATCGATTCGCAAAGGAACAAGGAAAGAACACGTTTTACCTGGATGGATGGTCCCCCTCACGGTGGCCTTGGAACCCGCTTCAGCGGGAGAGGCAGCGCCTCACTCACGGCTCCCCCTGGCCGCTGCTTTACCAGGGAGCGCCACCCCGTGCCCCGCCAGAGGAAGTGCAGGCGCCAGCACAGCACGGGCCGAAAGCCACACTGTGGGACCCGCAGCGCAGCTCCAAGAAATCCAAAGTCCATTCACAAGAGGAGCTTCTCCGCCAAATCGTTGAAAAATAAAACGAGAAATGAGTCGCCACCGGTATCCGCTTTAGTCAGCCGTACGAAAACGCAACCCGGTCAGCTGCACTTCTGCTGCCAGCCCTCCTCCAGTCAAGCACCGGCCTCGAGAAGGGCAAAGGGCAGGTAGGAGTTCCGACGCATGCGGCCACGGGGCGGAGTCACAGTTCAGAGGCCTCAGCTGAACCTGAAGTTATCCTAAGCTCGAGCCCCAGAGTGAGGACTCGGGGTCAGGCATCCGATTCCCCATCAGCTCCTTTACTAAAGCTGTGCAGAGAATCCGAGGCTATGAGTGGGGGTGGGGGAAAGATGTACAGGATGCTTTGGTTTCACTCCTGAGATACGAGAACGTCCTCTGAACACACATGCAGATAGCTGGACTTCTAGACAGAGGAAATCCAAATCGTTTCTTTCCTCCCAGCATAAGGGAACGGTCCGGTAAGAGCTGGTGTTTATCGATGCTACGTGCCAGAATGGGGCTGAGCACGGCGCCTCACTGTATCCTAACGTCTAATGAGGCAGGGAATGTCACTGTCACACTCTGCAGACGAGGAAGCCATGCTGTCAGCAGGTACACATCTTGCCACAAAACCAGTAACCTGTGGCACTGAGATCGCACACCGGTCGTCCACTGCCAAGTCCGTGGCCTCCTTCTCTGGGGTTTGCCTGCCTCTTGATGGCGGCCATGCCTCTGTCCTCTCGCAGGGGCTGGCTCTTCCAGTGGTCACTACTTTTTGGTTGCAAGCAGCAGAGATTCCCTGGAGGGCTTGTTGAAAGCACTCACATCAACGGAGCCTCAGAAAGGGAGCTGAGGCCATGCACGGCCCTGCAGTTTCTCCTCAGGCTTTGGTTTGCATCCCTGGCCTGACTTTCCCTCAACAAGTCCTGCTATCTCCACAAGGCGGCCAGCCCAGCCCTGTCCTCACCTTCCAGCCCCAGCTGAGCAGCCCCTCCCCACATCATCTTCAGCTGCTGCCCAGGCTCCGCAGAGCAGGTGTCCACCGCCCATCCAGCCATTGTGTTTAGAGGGCAGAGCGACCTGCCGGGACCTTGACAACACCTGGCCCCACCCACACGTCCTGCAATATTCACTGAGGAATGCACAGCAGCACATATGTGCCTCATGTGTCCTGCTGTGATGCAGCGAGTGGCACACAGCATTATTGTGTCAATCATGTGTCTTGATGTGATGCACTGGTTCAGACAGTATCATGGATGCAGTGTTTCTTTAAAACTGTCAAATTTGAGGAAACAATCTAACAAAAGCCAATTGATGAACATTCTGTAAAGGTGACATAAATACTTCAAAAATGTCTCTGACACAGAAAGAAAAAAAACAAAAAGGGAGCTATTCCAGATTTTAAAAATAAAAGATATAGTAACTAAAAGCAGTTGTGGTGCTTGGATAAAAACAAACAACAGGTATAAATGAAGGTATAAACGATATTATTATACACACTGGGAAAAATTTTATATGGACCATGTATTAGATAATGGTGCTGTGTTATTGTTAAATTTCCTCCATTTGATAACTGAAGGGGAATGATTTTGTTCTCAATAGATGAATGCTCAAGTATTTGGGGGCAAAACATCACATCACAATGACTAACTTTCAAAATGGTTCAGTCAAAAGAATGATATATGTGTACTTAAAAGGGGAAAATAAGTGTGGCAAAATGCCAACGATAGTTGAACTGTCATGTGGGAATCCATTGGACTATTCTAGAAACATTTCTGTAGCTTTAAAATTATTTAAAACAAATGTTGTGGGGAAAAGAACCCACATTTAAGGTAGTAAAAATATTCAGGACACACAAAGAGGGGGTGCAAACAGGTAAAAGGACAGGGTTTCTGACCTCAGAGAGCTTCCTGAAGCTGCGCACATGCCTGTCAGGAAGGCAGTGGAATGAGCAGAGATTCGAGGGGCAGGTCATGTCTCTACTGAGTGGAGCAGAGGATAAGGTCTCTGCAAACAGTGAATTTTAAGCCATTTGTTTAGTCTACATTACAGTGAATCCAAGTAAGAGTTTGGAAAGCCAGTCACATCAGACTATCTTCACTTTGTTTAATGATAGAGACAGGCAGGGATGGGGAACGGATGTCCCAAATGGATTCTCAGCCACATGCTTGGAGCCCCAGAGGAGCGAGCACGGGAGACAGCAGCAAGGACATGGAACAGGCCAGGCTGTTCCATCACTTAATTTAAAAAGGGACGTGGCTTCTGTTCACTCAGGAAAAGGTCGGGGGCAGGGCAGGTGCCAGATGTACCAAGGTGATGCTTTCTTCTAATATTGTTCAGAACATGTCTTCATGTCTCATCAAAACAACTTACGGAAGCAGGAGAACATTCATCCTGTAGCTAAATTCCACGTCCATGCATTCAGAAGGCCCACGCACAATTACCTTTACTCTCCAATATGGCCTGTCAGATGAACACTTGTGAATTTGGACCAACATTTGCTGTTGCTCTTTGAAAATAATTGTTTTCATCATTGCTTTTGAAGGAACACAAATTTAGCTAATTTTCCATTTCTCCCTTGCCTCCAGTAATTCTGGTCTGCTCACGGTATTCAGCCAGCCAGCAGAGACAGAAAATAAAGGCCAGGCACAGTGGCTCATGCCTGTAATCCCAGCACTTTGGGAGGCCAAGGTGGGTGGATCACTTGAGGCAGAAGTTCAAGACCAACCTGACCAACATGGTGAAACCCCATCTCTACTAAAAATACAAAATTAGCTGGGCATGGTGGCACATGCCTGTAATCCCAGCTACTTGGGAGGCTGAGGCAGGAGAATCGCTTGAACCTGGGAGGCAGAGGTTGCAGTGAGTCGAGATCGCACCACTGCACTCTAGCCTGGGCAACAAGAGCAAAACTCCGTCTCAAAAACCAAACAAACAAACAAAAACAAAAACGGAGAGAAAGAAAGGAAGAAAAGAAAAAGCATGGGAGCACAGGAGTTAGAGACTGGAGTGAGATATGATTGTGTCACTGCACCTCAGCCTAGGTGATGAAGGGGAGGGGAGGGGAGGGGAAGAGAAAGGAAAAGAGAGAGAGAAAGAGAAAGAGAGGAAGGAGAGGAAGAGAGGAAGAAGGAGAGAAAGAAGGAGAGGAAGAAGGAGAGAAAGAAGGAGAGGAAGAAGGAGAGGAAGGAAGGGGAAGAAAGAAGAAAAAGGGCAAAAAGAAAAGAGCAAGCATGCAGGAGAATTTGAAGCAGCTTTGCCATCGAGTTCTTGGGTCCCCCGAGCCATGCTACACCGTGGACCACCAGCCAGCAGAAATCCGTTCTTGTTACACCTGTGACCCCTGCTAGCAAGATGGTCAATGTGGCCGGATCCCTCCGGAAGGTGAGAACAGAAGACATTTGCCTCTTAAGGGTTAAACTCTAAGTTAATTCAATTGTGAACAGAGATATGTAACACTGTTTAAGGAAAAACAACCAATTGTAGCCATTTATGATGTGACTGTAACTGGGATGGACATATACTGCAGTTGACCAAGGAAGTGTTCATCAGAAGCAGGATGGGCAACAGGGGAAAGAATACCAAGGGAAGGTCAGGCAGCCCAGCAGCATGGCTGCCCACGCACCTGCAGGGAACAGAGCCGCCACTCAAGACAGCAGAGCCTCCCTGGGACACAAGGCCCTGGCCCAGGAGCCTGAGCATCTGCTACTTCAGATGTGGTCTCTTTATTGGAACAAATAGATATAGTCCCGGATCTCTGGTCTGCAGCCACTGATCTGGCAGATGATTTTTCTCTATACCTACGGATATGGGTTGGGGTTTTGTATCCTGCAAACTCACGTCCAGAAGCTGTCTTGTTCTCATCTGGCAGGGACAGCAGCAGCCTTGGTGGGCATGCATCAGGGCTGTGCTACCTCTCCAGTTCCTCCACACAACCTAGAGCTCAGGGCTGCCGGCTATCTTGCCATTCCACAGGATGCCACCATGGAGCATCACATTAATGATGTGGACAGGAAACAAGACACCCCACTGTTTTGGTGACATTATGACCACCTGGGGTGGGACGTAACTCTCATAAGAATGCACAGGGCTGCTGCTCTGAAGTTTCCAGGGCCTGTGATCTAGGAAGGTGTGGATGCACTCCGCGAGGGGGAGGACAGGTTGCTGTGCTCGCATTCACTGGCACTAGAGAGGGGCAGGCACTCTGAGTCTCTCTGGAGCTCTGCAACCAACATCCACCAGACTCACACACGCTACTCTGCTCACTTTCCAATTAACCTACAAACTGCCAGTTCTGCATGAGGCCTAGAAAGACCAAAGCCTCCAGAGCAGGTTGATGTAAAAGCTGGTCTCCCTGTCGGGCCACGGTGGCAATTAGATCCCATGATGCATGGCAGAGCCACAGACAGGCCCAGAGCACAGACCCCTAGGGTTCTGGGACAAAACCACACCCTCTTCTGCAGATAATTATTAATCTGAGAACCAGCTCTCAGCTTGTCCTCTAGGCCCTGATGGATACCGAACATCTACACTTCACCATCGCACAGCTAGTGACAGCTAGCTGGAGCTTAAGCGGACCACCAAAGACTGCGTTTTCTGACCTGTCACGTCACCAGGGGAGGCAACAGCGGGAGCATGTCATCATTACATTCAGGCAAGATGTATATATTTAATAGGCATATAGGTGTACACACACACACGAGCATGCATGCACATGCACACGCACACACAGATTAGGCTTTGGCATGTTCTGGAGCACAAGATACAAGCAAGTGGTTCCGACGCTCTTCAGGCCCACACTGCTGCAGGGACAGCACCCCTCACCACGCACCTACTGGCCTCATGGGGACTTCCCTAGGATCACTCACCTGAATTAAAAGTTAGACTCGATTGCTGTAAAAGATGCTGACAGCTGACACCACTTGAAGGTGAAAATTGGCAAAGTTCTAACCCATTTGAGTGGCCCTAAAGAACAGCGGGGGAGGGGGCCCATGCTCTCAGTAGGCAGGTGGCACGATGGCTGCCTCATGCATGTTAGCCTTTCTCTCCAGCCACCCAGCCTTGCTTGCTCAACGTTCTCATCAACAAAGTGGCCGTAGAGGCAGTGAAGGACGTTGTCAATGGCTCCGACCGCGTGGGCATCCTCATTCCAAGGCTAGTCTGGCTAAGGTCCACTGCTAAATGTATAAATCTGCTAATGGGAGAGACCAACACAATTCCTAGCATGAAAAACTCACCTGGAAAGAAGAGCCAGCCCCCAAGCACATCGGGCCATGTGTTCAGAGGGACAGACGCCTCTTGGCCACCGCACCTGGCTCACAGAAGCCTCATCTGCTGCAAGGTTGCTTACAGAACTGCTTCCAGGAGACCCATTTCAAGCAGAGCTCAGCAGTGAGGCTCGTGGTAATCGTGATCCCAGCACACACATTACCTCGGGGAGCCTCCCAAGCACCGGGCAGTGCTGGCTGTGACAAGGCGCCCCGGGGGCTGCTGGGTTGCCCAAGACGTGCCCTGCACTCCGAGCCATCGGTCAGCATGTGGTGTGGGTTCTCCCATGGCCGGAAAACACAGGTGGAGGCGCATGTGGAGCGGGAATGGCTCCTCTAATTACGCCCCCGCACCACTAGCAAGGTTTGGATTCTCCGCTCACAATTCTGGACTCTGCTGGTTTGGGTGTCTTCATTCCTTGGATGCTTCCACAGAGAGACACGAGGTGCTCACTGTCCTGCAGGCGGAGGCTGCCACCCAGCCGCACTGGATGCCTTGTGCCAATGAGCCAGAAGAGTTTGCTGCTATGGCCAGATGACTGTTCTCAACTGTCTTGGGGAAACACAGCTCCTACCACAGAATGGGGGGCCAGGAGGAGGGTCTGAAATTTAGGGGATTCTCTAGGGAACCTCTTAGTATTCCCAAGTCCAGTGATAAGTTAGTGGAAACCTACAGTTACCCAAAACGAGAAAGATTTGTAATGGAAAAGACCTGTCAGGAATGAGGTCTGGGTTAACTCACCGGGTGAAAAACCACAACCCAGACAGGCAGAGGAAAGGAACATGGAACAGTGGCAAAAAGGGAATTTTCAAACACAAACTTCTGCCAGATCATCAGGTTGCAAAAACAGTGCATGCAGCAGCTCTGTGCGGTCTCCTCATTGCAATGGTAAGACACACCAGTATCTACGCGATAACTCTACCAGTCAGTTCTTTCTTTCCCTCTTCCCATCCCAGCACCACCACTAGCAGGATGGTCAACCCTACGTCACCATCTAAATGCAAGTGTATCAGAGAGAGGTGTGACCGCGCTATAAAAGAACAGTCCCAGAGTGGGAATACTGACACATGGGATTTGTGCTTTGTGTCTCCACTTTTGGGAAGAGGAGGAACCATCTTCAATTGTACAAGAGAAAGTTGCATCACATTAGCCAGAAGTGTCACGCTTACCCAGAGGTGGTGTTTAAGAGGGGCCAGAGCTGAGCTGGCAGAGCACAAACAGCACATGCTCAGCTCTGCTGCCACCCACGGCCCCCAGGTCTCCTGAGCGGAAGCAGCCACAGAATGCCAGTCCTTAGATGACTGCCAGCTGCACCCTGTCAAGGTTTGGAAGGTGGAAAAAGAGAAGCAGTGATTCACAGAGGGTGGGGTGAGGTGGCCCATGCCCAAGCAGACATGAGGTCAGGGCGGCCGCCCAGAGGCTTCCGGAAAGCCCCAGCTTTGCAGCTGCCAACTCTGACAGTGGGGGTCCCAGGCACCCTCGAGAGCTGCAGCGGCTGCAGGAACCCTCGAGTCACACACTTGCTTCTTCAAGCAGGGCCTATGAATGGCAGCTTCCCTAATCTCCTTTCCCCCAGCTCTCCCAGACCCTGCACTGAAACCCCCACATCTAAAAACAGGGAAGGGCTTCTTTTTTTGCCAAATGCTGACCAGGAGGCTGCTGCCCAGCACCCGTGCCTGCCCACCTCCCCTTTCAGGAGCTGGTCTCCAGCACTGACCCAGGAAGCTTAAATTGCATCAGTCCTCTCCTCAGCCTCAGGGCCTCACCCTCCCTGCCCTGATGGCTGGTCCAGGAGTCAACATCTCCCAAGGCCGGTGAATGCAGGGTAGGGTCCCGGCCACAGCAATCGTTCTCAAGGGTAGGCATGTGGCCAGTAACCAAGGAGCCACGCGTTTCTGAGTGACAGCAGCTCTCCCTTCTTCCTCTGGACGGTGTGTTACGGGGAGATGGAACCAAAAACTACAACAGCACTTGGTCACCACAAAGGAAGCCAGACTGAGACTCACACCGACCACTCGGAAAGGGTACATCAGAAGACTGCAGAGTGAGACTCACACCGACCACTCGGAAAGGGCAAACCAGAAGACTGCAGAGTGAGACTCACACTGACCACTCAGCAAGGGTACATCAGAAGACTGCAGACTGAGACTCACACCGACCACTCGGAAAGGGTACATCAGAAGACTGCAGACTGAGACTCACACCGACCACTCGGAAAGGGTAAACCAGAAGACTGCAGGGTGAGACTCACACCGACCACTCGGAAAGGGTACATCAGAAGACTGCAGACTGAGACTCACACCGACCACTCGGAAAGGGCAAATCAGAAGACTGCAGAGTGAGACTCACACCGACCACTCGGAAAGGGTACATCAGAAGACTGCAGACTGAGACTCACACCGACCACTCGGAAAGGGTCCATCCGAAGACTGCAGACTGAGACTCACACCGACCACTCGGAGAGGGTACATCAGAAGACTGCAGACTGAGACTCACACCGACCACTCGGAAAGGGTACATCAGAAGACTGCAGACTGAGACTCACACCGACCACTCGGAGAGGGTACATCAGAAGACTGCAGACTGAGACTCACACCGACCACTCGGAAAGGGCAAATCAGAAGACTGCAGAGTGAGACTCACACCGACCACTCGGAAAGGGTACATCAGAAGACTGCAGACTGAGACTCACACCGACCACTCGGAAAGGGTACATCAGAAGACTGCAGACTGAGACTCAGACCGACCACTCGGAGAGGGTACATCAGAAGACTGCAGACTGAGACTCACACCGACCACTCGGAAAGGGTACATCAGAAGACTGCAGACTGAGACTCACACCGACCACTCGGAGAGGGTACATCAGAAGACTGCAGACTGAGACTCACACCGACCACTCGGAAAGGGTACATCAGAAGACTGCAGAGTGAGACTCACACCGACCACTCGGAAAGGGTACATCAGAAGACTGCAGACTGAGACTCACACCGACCACTCGGAAAGGGCAAATCAGAAGACTGCAGAGTGAGACTCACACCGACCACTCGGAAAGGGTACATCAGAAGACTGCAGACTGAGACTCACACCGACCACTCGGAAAGGGCAAATCAGAAGACTGCAGAGTGAGACTCACACCGACCACTCGGAAAGGGTACATCAGAAGACTGCAGACTGAGACTCACACCGACCACTTGGAAAGGGCAAATCAGAAGACTGCAGACTGAGCCTTACATCGACCACTCGGAAAGGGCAAATCAGAAGACTGCAGAGTGAGACTCACACCAACCACTCGGAAAGGGTACATCAGATGACTGCAGAGAAACAGAACCTGGACCCTGGCCAAGCAGACCCTCAACTCCACCCTGTCTTTGGGTTTTTAATTTACACGCTGTTAAAATCTGTTAAAATTAAAAGCATCCTGACTTACAAGTTTTCATAAGAGTACTTTACTTGTGGATTTCTTGGCTAAATGTATTAACATTTGTTTCTTCTCACTAAAAGTCCACATTTTCAACAAAGCTGTATGTGTAAGATTGATAGTTTCATTCCACTTGTTCTTTTCGTAACTGGTGTAAGCCACCAGGTTCTCCGTGTACTGCAAGATCGACTTTACAAACCTGTAAAAAAAAAATTAATTTCTTTATCCATTCCATTATAAAATGAAACAATGAATTAAATGTCTTCACTTCATTCTTGGAATTATTCCTAAAGTAAACTGCAGTTAATTTATGTCTGAGGATTCAAGAAAAATAAATCCGTATAAATAAAAAATAAGAGAATACAAATTAGAAGAAAGACAAAAATGCTGAAATGTAAATGCTACTGGACACTTGGACAGGCTCCAACGCAAGCACCTTTTCAAGCATTCTTCTCCAGCCCAGACATGACGGCCGTCATTCCAGGAAGGAACTTAGGGGTCATCTGCATCAAACTGACACATAATATAATAAACACACAGCACAAAATAAACACACAATATACAGTCATCTAGTGGATACCAAAATCCAAGCATACTCAAGTCAAGCGTGAAAAATTGGCCCCCTGAACATGTGGGTTTCGCAATGAGATTTTTGTGTTTTGTTTTTTTTTCCCACATTGATGTCTGCAACCAAGAGCACTGTAATTTCAATCTGTGTTTGCAAGAGACGCAGAGCCTGCTGATACAGAGGACCAACTATATTTACTGAAAAAGCTCCCTGGACAAGTGGACCTGTGCAGTGCAAACCTGCATCGTTCAAGGTTCGGCTGCAATGACAAGCAGGCCAGTCCTTTTAGCCCCGTCAGGAGCCTGGTGGGCAGCGTGCCCTCCCCCTCCTCACACATCCAATTTCCATCCCCCGTGATGGAGGGGCCGGCTCAGAGAAGATGTGTGCCACTGAGACAGCTGTTGCTGTTAAAGAGATTTTACTTAAGTTATTTCTCAAAATGTTAACAGCGGGGTCACTCTGACTGATGACAATAAATGTCATCTTTACTTTTTCCACATTTGCCAGGTAGTTTTCACCAGCATTTTATCTTGAAAATATTCAAACTTAAAGAGAAGCTAAAAGGATAATATAATGAAAAGCCACAGACACTTTGTCTAGAGGAGGGCTCTCTACTGGGGTGATTTTATCCCCCAGGGGATATCTGGCAATGTCTAGGGCACTTTTGACTGTCAAACGGAGGGTAGGGGTGCCATTGGTATTTTGTGGGTAGAGGCAGGGCTGCTACTGAGCGTCCTACAATGAGCAGGGCAGTCTTGCACCAGCCCACAATGCCAGCAGTGCCAAGCATGGGGCACACTGAGCTGGAGTCCTCAGCTGCTAACAGTCTGCATGTTTGCTCCCTCACTCTCAGCAGGAGTCTATGCATCTTTCCATAAGACACCCCAGTTGTATTTTCACGTTCATTTAAACATGTACTGAGGTGCCTGGCACCTGCAAAGCACTGGCTTAAAACCAACAAGATATCCAGAACTTCCTAGCAGCCGAGGGAGACTGGAGCTGGAGCTACACTCAAGCCCAGATTGACAGCTTGTTTGACCTCTGCCCGGAAGCCTCCTTGGTTTGGAATCTCTGGATGTAAAGTGGGTCACACAAGTGTCACACTACTTCAGACTCCTAGATCGGGATGGTCCTAAAAGTGGACTTCCCGAATTGGAAACAATTTGTTACATACACGAATTGGGTTTTTGGCCAGGCACAGTGGCTTTTACACCTGTAATCCCAGCACTTTGGGAGGCCAAGGTGGGATGATCACTGAAGGGCAACATAGTGAGACCTCATCTCTACAAAAACATTTAAAAATTAGCCAGGTATGGTGGCATGGCTGTGGTCCCAGCTACTCAGGAGGCTGAGGTGGCAGATCACCTGAGCCTGGGAGGTCGATGCTGCAGTGAGCTGTGATTATGCCACTGCACTCCAGCATGGGCAACAGAACAAGACTCTGTCTCCAAAAAAAACAAAACAAAACAAAACAAAAAAAACATGGTTTTGAGACATTTGGATGTGGGAGTTCTTGCAGGCCAGATGTCAGACCCTTGCCTGAGATGGCGGTGGGGCCACCAAGGGGATAGTGTCACTCACACTGCCCCAATCTCACTCCTACAGGCTCACCCGCAATCTGCCCCACGATGCAATGTGACTGCAGACATACTGTGACACACTTACTTTAGGTACTGCTGATACTCATGCGCATTCTTCCCACAAACAGCATGAATGTTGACCAACTCCAGCGCAATGAGTAACAGTATCAGGCTGAGCACAGGGGACAGTAGTCTGATACTAAAAACAGATAAAAGTAAATTAAAATGTGAGGATATGTTGGTATTTTCCACCTTCATCAGGAAAAAGATGTTTCACCTAATCAACATCCTTAAGTCCCAACTTCTCAAAAAATAATTTTCCTAATCCTTAGAGCCCAATGCCTGCTTCCAGCCCCGAGGCCCGTGGCCGGCAGGAGTGCCCAGCATAGCCCTTGCTCCCGGCCCATCCTGCACGTCCGCATTTCTTGCTCTGAGTCACCATCTGAGGCGCCCGGTCTACATCAGGGCTGCCAGGGGCCATGCACGCTCACAGGGCACCAGGCAGGTACAGTCTGCGCCCAGCAGCCCCCCTGCTCGCTGCCCTCTGACATCTAGGGAGGAACTCTCACCAGAGAAAAACAAATGGCCTCGATAGGAAAGCAGGCTCAATGCCACCAGATTGAAGAAATCCCAATTAAAGTTAAGATCTTACTTTTCCCATGAAACTAGTTGAGACATGTAAAAATATTGTGGTTTTGGAGAGTGGTAGTAAGAGAATGACCTTGTCTTATAAACTGCTGGTAAGAGTGTAAATTGAGCAGCACCTTTCTGGAGGGGAATCCAGCGATATCTATGTAAAGCTTTAAAAACAGATACCACTCAACCCAAAAATTCTAGAAATGTATCCAAAATGGCCATTTCTTAAGGATGTAGCACATTCTAAAATATACTCTATAAGTGAAGAAACCATAATGCTGTTAATCTGCTGTTAATCAAGTTAATCTGCTGTTATATTTTAAATCCAAATATAATCTGCTGTTAATCACGTTAATCTGCTGTTATATTTTAAATCCAAATATTCATTTAGATAGATAGAACCCACATTTCCACATGCCCAAATTACAAACAATATTTAAAATAGTATGTACTACAACTTTCTATGAAAATCAGCACAGGAAGTCCTCAAATAACATCATTTCATTCAACATTGTTTCGTCACAACATCAGTGAGAAAAGAAATGGATGCCCCAGGAGGGCCACTGCCCGTGTGGAGAAGCACATTCGTTATGGGTTCGGCATGGGTTTTCTCCTGTCCCCCAGTCCCCTCCACATCCCAGAGCTGTGCACGTTAGGTGAACTGGCGCATCTCCATGGTCCCAGAGTGAGTGTGGGTGTGTGACTCGTCCTGCGACGGAAACGCGTCCTGTCCAGGGTGGGTCCTGCCTTGTACCCAGAGCAGCCGGGATAGGCTCCAGCCACCCACAACCCTGACCCTGAACTGGAATAAGCAGGTTGGAAAATGAATGAATGAATGAATACAAATTATAAGAACTTGTAAAGTCTACCATAATCATACAAGTGCTCGACAGTAAGTGACAGATACAAAAGTGCTCAGTGACCCACACATTTGTTCCTGTTGGCGCTGGAGCTGTGGGTGGGGGGAAGGGGGGCGGGCCTGGGGAGGTCTTGCTCTGCAAACATTATTGCCTCATTTAACCACCACCTGGACTGCCATCACTCACTGCCTCACCAAACACTGAGTGGTTATCTCACTTGTTTTTAATTCATCTTTATTAAATGTCCATAGAGTTCATATATACCTCAATGTTTAACATTGTAAGTGTTTTGGGTCTTCATTTAGAAGCTTGGTAATATTTGTATGACCAGAAACATGCTGTGGGAACTTAACTTTTGTTTCTATCATGAAAGGAAAATAAATCTCAGGACCCCAAACTCACTAAGCCAAAGGGAAAAGCCAAGCTGGGAACTGCCTCAGGCAAACCTGCCTCCCATTTTATTCCTAAATAAGGTGGCTACAAAGAGAAAAAAGCTACATACAGACCTCCCTCATAATTTGTCCACAAGGAAATTCCTCATGGGCCTCAAGATCTTTACCCTGAAAGAGTTCTGCTGAATTTCTCCCTGGCAATGTAGTTGCTAGCTGATCTTCCCAGGTGTGGGACAGGAAGTCATCCCCCAGCTCACCTGAGACAAATGCCTATATGATTGCTTCCTCTGCCCTATGTAAAATGCAGCTTCACTGAGCCACACTAAGGTCTAAGTGACTATTCCTCTACCCCCACTCACAAGTAAATTGTGTATTCACCGAAAGGCTCATCAAAGACTCAAAACAATGCAATCCTTTGTCTCCTGTCTACCTATAACCTGGAAGGCCCCCACCTTTGTATTTTCCCGCCTTTCCAGATGGAACCAATGTACACCTTACACCTGCGGACTGATGTCTTATGTCTCCCTAAAATGTGTAAAAGCAAACTTCGCCCCAAGTACCTGGGGTACATGCCGTCAGGGCCTCCTGAGGCTGTCACAGCATGTCCTTAACCCTGGGAAAGTAAACTTTCTAACTGGATTGAGACCTGTCTCAGATACTTTGGGTTCACACTCAGTTGTGGACTCCAAGTATATCAACACCTGTCGATGGGGTTCAGTGAGGGGCTACTGTGTGTGTCTGGAAGTGAGGACTAGAACTGCATCTGTGACAACTTCCTGCCCCACAGTGCCCCTCCAAAACAGGAAAGTGAGCGCGCACCTACTCCACATACGCAGGTAGTTCTGCCGCTGGCGAGACCGCAGCGTCCTTTCCACCCACTGCCTGTGTCTCAGCTCTGAGGCAACGGTGACCTGGCTGGACACACGGCGGCACTGTTCGCTGATGCTTCGGAGCACAACCAGCACTTCCAGCACAATCCTGGGGCAGAACAGGGTGGGAACAGGTGTGCTGCAGAGCTCACGGAGAAGCTGGGGCCACCTGCAAACAGAGCCAGACTTGGAGCAGGCATCATGATCCTCACCTGGGCCTCACTCTCCTTCTGCACCTGCAAGGCTGCGGCTTTCTGGGAGCCAGGGCTAGCGGCGTATCGCTGGTTGGTCTGCAGGGACAACCGTGACACGCGGCAAGTGTTAACTAAACACACTGAATTGTGGCAAACAGAATGTGGCATTCACAGCCTCATCAGATGTGCCAAGCTTGCACAGAGATTGTCAAAACTTATCTCATAATTCCTCCTGGAGCAGTAACAGTGGGATTCTAAGACTACTACCAAGTTTATAAAATCTAAAACATAGAAAATGCTAAGTTTGCTATGCTAATCTGCTGAATCAATGTTTCAACAGTTGTCAGGATGTCCTGGAACTTACGTCTCAGTAGGAAGACGATCCAAGTCCTTTAACACACAACGATTCTCAGGCATATGGTGATACAGCTCATCCGTCATTTTTGTAATCAAAGAGTGGCAGGCATTTGTTTCAGAATTATCTTCTAATCTGAAAAACAGAAAATATTTAAAGATACGTGACAATTAAAGTGCTCACATCAGTGCCTGTGCACAAGAATGTTCAATGGTTCACTGAGCAGCGACCTGACTGTGAATCTCACTTTCCTCAAATATAAAATGGAAAAAGCCACCATGACAATACAGTGGAGAAACAAACGATGCCATATGCCAAGAGCAAAGTCCAGTGACGACGAGACGATGAACCACCTGCGTATTCTTCCTGCTGAACAAGGATGTCTGCTGTTGTTTACGATTCCAGAATTTATGTCTCCATCCCTACTTCTCTCCTGAGCTTCAGACCCATCTTTCTTCCTATCTACTCAGGGTACTTCTCATGGACGCCACTGTCTACCCACAAAACCTGCCTCTCGTTCCATGTTCAGTCTCCACCAGGGCCCCATGCCAGTTGGAAGATCGCATTCAGCGACACTTCCAGCTCCCCACAGCCTGCATCAGCCACCAAGGCCCAGAAATTCCTCCTTCCCCTTTTATCTTCCCACAGCCTCGTTAAAGAAGAAATGCTGCTGAAACTAATAGTACCAGACAAGCTTGAGGTCAGCCAGGCCCCAGGATGCCACGCACCTGACGGCTTGCCGAGTGAGTTCTTCGGGGAAAGGCAGCAGAGCCCAAACCCTGATGCTCTCCTCACAGCTCAGCACCTGGGAGGAAATGTTTTATTGCTTTTGTAGATTTCACAGTAACTTCCTAGAAAATCTGTGTTTTTATGGATGTTACATCACTCTCTAGAAAATACGTAAATTATTACAAATTCTAAACATTTTAAAACCAGATGGTGGGTGTCAGTTCTTCAGTACATTCAGATGGGGGAAGGCTGCGGAAACTACCAGTGGATTGGAAGGGAGTGAACGTCTGGGGTGGCTATGACCATGTCCACAGGTTCTTTGGACACCTGCCATTGAGAGGGAGGCCCCCACCAAATCTGCACGAGCTCTGGCGACTGGCCTGGAACCAACAGAACACAGCAGGTGTGACGATGCTGTGCAGCATCCAAAGCCATGTCAGAGGTGCAGGTGCCTCTCCAGTTCAGGCCGCACTCGAGGTGCAGCAGCTGTCACCTTGGGACTGTCCCTGCAGGACCCCCATGAAGCCCCTGGCCAACTTCCAGCCTTCTCAGATGGGACACCCACGAAGCCCTGGGGGACCACAGCCATCAACGCCCAGGTCAGGCCACAAGACAGATCCCTCGGCAGATGCTCCCCATTTCTAACCCACTAGCGTATGAGCAAGTACAACGGTGGCTGCTGACACCAGTGAGCGTGGGTGGTATCAACAGCAGGAATAACGGAAGCCCAGGATGCAAAGCTGCCTGAATACCTGTGAGATGCCAGGAGGGGGACAGGAAGTGGTAAGTACCCAAAATAGCCACCATGGGGCACAGCAGAGGATGGCCTGGAGTCTCAGTGGCTCTGGTTAGAAGACAAAGGCTGCCTTCTTGAAGCTCCTCTTCCTTCCTAAATCTTCCCTCCTCCCTACCTGCCCACCTCCACCTTCGTAAGGGCTTGCTCTTGGAAAGCACGGCATCCCCACTGGTAAAGCTGGTCCACAGCGCCAACGGGGAATGGCATCTGACCAGCACAGCCCGATGCTCTGCCTCCGAGCCACACCTCCAGAAGGCTGTTTTCCCAACTTCACTGTTGACAACCCCCTTCTGACCGTATTTTCCTTAAGGCATTCTCAAGGAGGCCTCAGACTTCTCAAGGCACCTGCCATCACGCCCGGCTAATTTTTGTATTTTTAGTAGAGATGGGGTTTCACTGTGTTAGCCAGGATGGTCTCGATCTCCTGACGTTGTGATCCGCCCGCCTCGGCCTCCCAAAGTGCTGGGATTACAGGCGTGAGACACTGCGCCCAGCCTCTAGGCACCGTTTCTTTAAAATGCCTTTGCAAATCTCTCCTGACCCGCCGTGTGTTGATTTTACAGCTTCCTTTTAGAGGTAATCTCATTTATAAATTTTCACCTGCACAACTGTCATGATGCTTATATTCTTGGGGACTGTCTCTTTCATCCCCTTGCACTACCCTTGTATCCTCCCGTATGTAGAATAAAGCACCTTAGCTGATTTCCAAATTGGAGCCTCCTGGCAGAAACACTTAAAAAATTGTTTGTCTCAGTAAGTTAACAAAAGCTAGTCCGTGTAGAAGAAAAACTGACGTTACTCACCACTGACAAATAAAAACTGCTCCTAGCTCTGCGTTACTGCTGACAGCAATAACAGCCTGCCAGGGGACTCAGCAAAAACACTTCCCAGTGCTCATCCATTTAACACTAAAAACCTCAGTGCCGTCAGCACCGCATTACTTTCAACTGCTAGACACGGAACTTGAGACTCAGAAGACTGAGCAACCAGGCCAGCGCCACAGCAGGCCCCGCACTGGTTAAAAAGCTGGATCTGCCCAACTCAAAGTCTGACTCAGCAAGCAAACTGCACCCTTCCAGCATCTCTGCAGAAGACAGGTGGTTTCAGAGACATACACGCCCCTCCCGGGACCCTGCATTTGGCATACCTGTTTTTTAAGCTGAAAAACCGGATGACAGCGAGAACTATAGCCTTCTGCAAGACTAATCAACAATTCTACGGCTGATTTTTCCTAGTGCAGAGAAAACAGTGGTTACTATCATGTTTGGGTGGGCTTTTAGCTTTCTTCTATTGAACTGTAGGCCACTTAGAGTCCCCATTTCTCATTATCTTTCTTCAAATAATTCTATGCAGCTAGAAAAGCAAGTGCTTCATTAAAATAGGCTTGACATGGCAGGCAAATGACAGCCAATAAAATGATTTTAAATGGAGGCCATTAACAATAATAGATCACAAATGCCACACCCACCCTCTGTGCACAAAACTGGAGATGAATAAGAAAAAAAAGATTCCAAACAATTGGAAATGTAACTAGGAAATAGTTACTTAAACACTAAAAATGAATACAACTAAAAAAAGGATCGCATAAACATTTAATTGCCAAGCATATACATATTTTAAAAAGCATAAAAATTACATTATTTGCAGCTGATATAACCACATAACTTAAAAATCCAAGTCAGCCAACTAAAACCTATGAGAAACAAAGTCAGTGAATTGATAGCTGACAAATTAAAAAATCTGTAACTACCTACAATTTTTTTTTTTTTTTTTTTTTTTGAGACAGAGTCTCACTGTTTTTGCCCAGGCTGGAGTGCACTGGCGCGATCTCGGCTCACTGCAACCTCTGCCTCCCAGGTTCAAGCGATTCTCCTGCCTCAGCCTCCTGAGTAGCTGGGATTACAGGCACCCACCACCACGCCTGGCTAATTTTTTTTTATTTTTTAGTAGAGACGGGGTTTCACCATGTTTGGCCATGCTGGTCTCGAACTCCTGACCTCAGGTGACCCATCTGCCTCGGCCTCCCAAAGTGCTGGGATTACAGGCGTGAGCCACTGTGCCTGGCCCACTACCTACAATTCTTAAAAGCACAAAACAAACAACTCAAGTAGCTAGATGTTAACTACAGAAGAAATGTGCTGGCCTTCCCGTCACTCAGGTGTGTAAGAGCCTGGAGTGCACCAGGGAGTGTGCTGGGCAGAAAACGGGAGGTACACTCATGTGCCTGCATGGGTGACGTCCCCGCAGGGCAGACACACACGCAGCATATGTGTGCCACTGAAGAGCACCTGGCTTCTGTTCCAAGATGTGAACCCATCCGAGGGCTTCCGAGGAGAAGGAAGACATGTTGGTAAAAGGATCAGTCTGGCTGCTGTGTTACGACAAGGTGAAGGGCTCGCAGAAGTCGGTGGGCAGACCAGTCAGTGCCAGCAACACTCCAGGGAGGGGCCAAGGCGGCATGGCCAGGTGGTGGCACAGGAGGGACAGGGAGTAGCAGATGTGGAACATATTTCTTTTTTTGTTCTCTTTATTTTTCTGAGACGGAGTGTTGCTCTGTCATTCAGGCTGGAGTGCAGTGGCACAATCTCGGCTCACTGCAACATGTGCCTTCCGTGTTCAAGCTATTCTCAGGACTACAGGCACCCGCCACCACGCCCGGTTAATTTTTGTATTTTTATTAGAGACAGGGTTTCACCATGTTGACCAGGCTGGTCTCGAACTTCTGACCTCAGGTGATCCGCCCGCCTCGGCCTCCCAAAGTGCTGGGATTACAGGTGTGAGCCACCGCGCCTGGACTGTGGAACATATTTCTAAGACCTGTTCCAAGGACTGAGTATGAAGCGAAGAGAGGAATCTAAGGCTTCCCGCCTGAGCAGCCACCTAGGAGGCTGGAGGTGCCGCGTACACGGGAGGACTTGAGGAATGAAGATGGGGAGAACCTGTGTCCCTGAATAAGCTTCAATATTGTGAAAAATGTCAATTATCCCTAACTCAATCCACGAGGGCCTCATTCTTATTTGTTTTTTGGGTTGTATGTTTGTCCAAGTTTACACAGAATAATAACTATTAATTTTTTTAAAAGTAAAGCTAGATTCTGTACCTTACTCCCAAGATGAAATAAATTCCAGTTGGATCAAAAGACGTAAATGGAAAATGAAGAAAAAATAGGCAGGGCACGGCGGCTCATGCCTGTAATCCCAGCACTTTGGGAGGCCGAGGCGGGTGGATCACAAGGTCAGGAGTTCAAGACCAGTCTGGCCAACATGATGAAACCCCGTCTCTACTAAAAATAGAAAAAAATTAGCTGGGCGTGGTGGCGGGCGCCTGTAATCCCAGCTACTCAGGAGGCTGAGGCAGAGAACTGCTTGAACTCGGGAGGCAGAGGTTGCAGTGAGCTGAGATCACGCCACTGCACTCCAGCCTGGGCGACAGAGCAAGACTCCGTCTCAATAAAAAAAAAACAAAAAAAAAAGAAAGAAAAGAAAAAAGAAAAAATAGAAGTATCAGAGAAAATGTATACATATATTTTTAATTTTGAAAAGCAAAGATTCTTTTCAGAATGACTCCAAATGTGAAGCCAAAGAGAAAAAAAAATCAAAATCTATAAACAAATAACAAAGCAATATGTACACAAACAAGGCTAATGATCCAATGGGAAAAATAAAACTGAAATAAATGGAGAAAATACATTAATAGGCAATTAACAAAGGAATTATAAACATCTAGTAAACATAAAAAAAGAAATGAAAATAAAAACATAATCTTGGCTGGATATGGTGGCTTGTGCCTGTGGTCCCAGCTACTCAAGAGGCTGAGGTAAGAGGATGGCTTGAGCCCAGGAGGTTGAGGCTGCCATGAGCCATGACTGCACCACTGCACTCCAGCCTGGGTGACAGAGCAAGACCCTGTCTCATAAAAAATAATAATAATAAAAAAATTTAAAAAAACCTTATTGATATATTTTGTCTTAGAACTTTACTTTTTAAGAGTATTTACGTAAGTGCCCAAATGAACAAAGATGTTCATTTCAGCATAATAATTAGGAATTTTCTACATCAGGGAACATTACAACTCATTCATCAATGATGGACTGCTTAGGTAAATAATAACATATTGATAAAATGGAATATCAAACAGCTGACAAAAAGAATAAGGCAGAACAAAAATGCCAAAAACACAGTTGATGAAAAATGCTAGCTATAAAACATAACATACCTTCCTATGAACTCACTTTAGTATACTCATAGCAAAAATGTGGTAGCAACAACACCGAATTATTAACAGTAGTTATTTCTGAGAGATGGAATTCCTGAGGGCTCTTACTTTTCACATTAATTTTTCTATTTCTAGTAATTTTTGTTTGAACATTTAAACAATTTTTAAAATAACTGTCACATGTATAATCTGAAAAAAAGATTAAAATATAAATAACAAATGTTCTATCCTAAATTATTTACTTTGAAATAAAAGAGTTTATTGATGATGCAAATATCCTACCCCATCGATTTAGCAAATATCTGTAAAAATTTCCTAATATTTGGTTAATCCTGTTTTATAATTTGTTCTTTCCTTTTCAATACTTAGCTGCTGTTACATACAAAAGCAAATGTGTTTTTAAGAAACGAGTTAAATTATTTTAGCTGAGATTAATATTGATTGATCTGTGATAGAGAATATAAACATACATGTAATCCATTCACTTTTTTTTCTGATGGAGGATACTGTAACTCAGATATATTAAAAGATGATTAACAGTTAATTACATTTGAAAAATAAACTATATTTTCATAGCTGAATGAGTTAATCTAATTAATGATTTTCTTCCCTATAAATTACCTTAAAAACTGATAGCAGACAGTCATCAACGAATCTGAGTAGCAGTACAAGAGAAAATGCAAGCAACTGATTAGTTGTTTCTTTTGAAAATTCATGTAAGTTGATCTCCCCGTGGCTTAAATGATCTCTTATGCGGGGACCCTCCTGATGGTTCAGGAAATCCCAGAGAAATTCCTTTCAGAAATTAAACAGAGAAAATATTTTGTTAGTATCCGCAGCAGAGAGACGTGCCTGGTGTTGCTGAATAGAAGGAAAGAGTGCATCCATCAAGTCCTCTGAAGCCCTGGGTGGGACTCTGCTGGGGAGAGCTCTTCTCCTACACCCACAGGACAGACCAGGGAGCCAGAGAGGCTGTGGGGAAAGCAGAGCTGCCCAGGTGGTACTGGAGCCTCATCAAATTCCAGTCTTTCTTGTTTTCACCTTCCTCCAAGGAAGGGAACTGAGTGTGAACATTTGCAAATGAGCTTTTCCAAGGCAATAAAAGAAATCACGGCTCTTTCTTGTGTGAGCACAGCCCCTGCACTTTCTCATCTGCTCTTTCACCTTCAAAAGTCTGTTGCTTCTTACGACACAAATCCAAGGCCTCTCCCACAGGTTTTAGGGAAAAGAGGTCAGAAAACTGCTGCCCTTGGCAAACCGCCAATGGTCAGAAGCATCACAGAGACTCAAGGTGGAAAGAACATTAAACTAGTTCAATCATCTTATTTTTTGATGGTAAAAATGGATGTCCACAGAGCACGGAGTCTAAAGTCACAGAACATGAGCATGATTCTAGGTCGCCTGACTGTTAGAAGGAATAAATGTCAAATACCTATTGTAGTCCAAATTAGTCACCGAAATATCTTCATAAAATATAAAAAAATGGATAGATGGCCTTAAACAATTAATGATCCTCTTTTCATCCAATACTCAATCTTATTACTCACATTTGACTGTTGCTTTTATTTTCAGACGGAGTCTTGCTCTGTTGCCCAGGCTGGAGTGCAGTGGCAGGATCTCAGCTCACTGCAACCTCTGCCTCCTGGGTTCAAGCCATTTTCCTCGCCTCAGCCTCCTGAGTAGCTGGGACTCAGGAGTAGGTGGGTGCCCGCCACCGCACCCAGCTAATTTTTGCATTTTTAGTAGAGACGGGGTTTCAACATATTGACCAGACTGGTATTGAACTCTTGACCTTGTGATCTGCCCGCCTTGGCCTCCCAAAGTGCTAGGATTATAGGCATGAGCCACCGCACCCGGCCTAACTGTTGCATTTAACAAGGCACAAATATATGTCCGTTCTACAGCACAAATACATGTAAAAAACAAATACAAATTTTGCTTAGGGACAGGGCAGCTAAATCATCAGGCCTTTAAAAAACACATTTAAGGAGTGACAGCTTGGCAAACATCAGCTGATTGGTGGCTGAAGCTGAGACAGCACAGCAATGTTTCAGAAGTATTTTTCTTGAGCAAACCACAAGCCAAAATTAATTTAATTTTAGAGAAGTGCTGACGACATCCATAAATACAAGAATATTAGCCTGGAAAATACCTAATACTTACCATAGCAGGCTCTCCAAGGAAAAGAGGAAGCTGATTGATTTTACCATCATTCAAGTGTTTTGCCAATATCTAAAACATCAAAAATAAATACATTGGTTAACTGGTCCCCATACATAAACATACAGAACTTTCAGAGTTGATGGATATAGTACTTTTAGCCTAACTTGTTATCTAAGGTCTAAGCAAATTAAATGGACAGTCTTTAAAATTCAGCAAACAGGTGTTCAGGAAATATTTTCTTAACCAACAGAATGACTTTAAGACTATATTAATAATTGTATACACATGTGTGTTTGTGTATGTGACTATGAATATGTGTGGTGTGTATATGTGTATGTGCATATGTGGTGTGGGGGTGTGTACATTTGTGTGTTTATATGCAACTGTGCCTGTGTGTGTGTGTGTGTGTGTGTGTAGTGTATGTGCCTGCATGTGTGTATGCCTGTGTGTGTATATGTGGCATGGATGTGTGAGTTCGTGTGTGGTGTGTGCATGTGTGTTGTGTACACATTAGAGTATGTGTATGCCTGTGTGTGTCTGTGTGGCATGGAGGTATGTGTTCATGTGTGTGTGTGTATGTGTGGTATGTGCATGTGTGTTTGTGTACACATTAGAGTGTGTGTATGCCTGTGTGTGTATATGCAGCATGGAGGTATGTGTTCGTGTGTGTATGTATGTGTGGTGTGTGCATGTGTGTTGTTTGTGTACACATTAGAGTCACTTCCAAAGTCATTTCTTAACTCACCATGGACTTTGCCCAACCACCCCAACCAATCCCACAGATCTGATCCTCTAGAGACTGGGCTGCACTATCTAATCAATTCCTCACATTACCAAAGGTCTTACACATTAAAATCACAACAGATTGTTCACCTAATGGAAGAAGCTCTGCAAGTAAACAGGCACATTTTTAACTCAGCCACAACACAGTCGCTTAGGATCTAATAGTTGTCTTAAAGGCAAAACCGAATGTCCGGACCTCTACAGGTGACCCTTCCCTTGGTTTCCCATAGGCTGTCGTCACACTTTAGGTGCACATGAACGCTACCCGGGGTTACGCACACAAATGCCTGTGCGCTCCGTGGCTGACAAGAGGCATTTTCAACTGTGAGTTTTCTACTATTCACACCGCCAACATGCAGATTAAATGAATCAATGTATCCCACACACTTGTAACAGTAGCGGGGAATATTTCCTGTACAAAAAAGATGTCACCCCTAAATCTAAAATGCAAGCCTCTAAATAATTATAGCTAATCATGTTAGATCCCTTGGTATTTTCCAACTTTGAGCTTTGGATAGCTTTGGGAGCTAGATTGGTAACACTGGGCCCCAAAATTAACCGGAAATATCAATTATCAGCTTTTTTTGGTTTATATTACTATGGACATTTTCCTGTAAGTATATGATTTATGGCTGATCTTTAATTTTGCATTTTAATTTGTATTTTAAAAGAAGACAGCGTTCTGTTTGTTTCAAGTTACCTTACAAGTTTACTTACTTACTTGATCAAAGGTGGTATAAAGAGCTGTTGACTTCAGAAAAGGAAAGAAATGAAAATAAACAATTAAAGCAAAATACAAATACACTAACACTATGCAAAATAAGAAAAAATTCTGGTACATGGCCACACATCCCAAAGTTTTTTGTTAAAACAAACATTCATCTAGAAACACTATGAGAGGAATGTCACTGACAAAATAAACACATTACAAAAGACGCAAAAACACAGTGCAGCTGGCCATGAAGCCGCATTAGGACACTGCTCTCAACAGAGCTTTAGCCCAGTTATCTCTAAAATGTACAATCCCAGGCCCTCACAAATCGCTGCTCATACAACAGAATACTTCTCCTGACGACTGGTATTTGTGCACAAGGGAGCACAGCTTCCTATTTTCTCCAATGAATAGCCTTGTCTGTTTTTATTTTATTTCATGCACGCTGCTTCTCAGCATCATCGGCACGGCCTACAGACATGTGCTGTCCTGAGTTCTGATCCCAACTGCAACATTTTCTAGACATGAAACCTACAGGCAACCGATTGAACTCCACAGATGCAGGTTTTCTCTGCAAAAGGAGAAGTTAAGAATGCCTATCTCAAAAGGCTTTTGGGGACTTCAGTGAGATTTGACAGACAGCATGACGAAATCACTTCAGTGAGATTTGACAGACAGCATGACGAAATCACTTCAGTGAGATTTGACAGACAGCGTGACGAAATCACTTCAGTGAGATTTGACAGACAGCGTGACGAAATCACTTCAGTGAGATTTGACAGACAGCCTGATGAAATCACTTCAGTGAGATTTGACAGCATGAGGATTGGCTGCACGGTGGCACGCTCCATCACTGTAGGGCCATGCGGTGTGATGTGATGAAATCAGGATTTTGTGTAAGCTAGCTCTCAAGAAATGTTTTTTGATTTATTAATGTTTAATAATAAATGTTTAATAATCTATTTTAAATTTCATATTGCCAATATTCTTCAACATTACTACACAGATGACTCTAAAATCTGTTATCTTTAGCTCTGAAATCTGTATTGCTAGCCCTAAAATTCCCTCTGAGTTCTAAATATCCAACGTCTACCACATATTCCCACTTTCTCCAAAAAGCAGAATTTTTCATTTACCTACATCAACTACACACATTAGCTTCTACTTTGTTTTACAGAGTTAGTATAAATGCCTTCTCACTCTCCCATGATAAATAAGCTTCTGAAGTCAGAAAATCTCACTCATATTCATATCTTCCACTGGTCCTGAAGAAACCTCATGACACAAAAGTAATCAGTAAATAATAACAGCATCTGCAGTGTCTTATTAAGTTTTATAAAATATCTTCATATATGTACTGCCTTAAAAACTGATCCTGTTTATTCTGGGTGAAAGCCTGTGCTAATAATATATTCTTTGATAGATTATATCCTCTGTGGAAACAGCCATGTTATTTATTTATGAAGTCAAATGACAAGTAAATATCCAAATTTATTTGCACCGCATGGCCCTACAGTGATGGTGCGTGCCACCGTGCAGCCAATCCCCATGCAGGTATCATGAAGCAAGGGCTCTAATGGGTGGGGCCCAGCTCTTTCCTGAAGCTTCGCTCCACACCGCGCTGAGTGGCCTACATGGAAGGCACTGGGCATGGGCAGCAGGCGACAGCAACGTGTAGGCCTGCCTCAGAGAACCCGCAGAGACCTCTGCAGAAATGCACACGAGTAAGGCAAAGCAGGACTGCCTCCAAGATGAGACAGAAACAGAACACAGAGAAAAGCAGCCTCCACCTTTGAGTAGATGAGCCTCTGGAAGGTCGCTTTTGTGGCCACAGCCCCTGACCTGGAGCGGAAAATCTGGGGGTGAGGAACAAAGTAAGAGGAAAGACAAGCAAGTTCTGGAGCTGACAAGAAGCCTAAATTTCACTGAGGTATCCAAACAGGGAACACACCAAAGAGGAGGGCAGGGTTAGAACCCGAGGCCTTGCTGCCACGTGAAGAGGATGAACTCCATCTGGCAGGCAGCAGGACATCATCGAGGAGGTTAAACAAATGAAAAAAAACCATAAATAACGTAAGAATATCAGCTTAGAAAATAATCAGTGGGGCCACGTATGGTGGCTCACACCTGCAATCCCAAAACTTTGGAAGGCTGAGGCAGAAGGATGACTTATGCCCAGGAGTTCAAGATCAGCCTGGTCAACATGGCAAGACTCTGTCTCTACAAGGAAAAAAAAAATGTAAAAATGAGCCAGGTGTAGTAGCACACATCTATGGTCCCAGTTACTCGGGGGGCGGAGGTGGGAGGATCGCTTGAGCCCGGGGATTGAGGCTGCAGTGAGCTATGACTGCACCACCGCACTTCAGCCTGGGTGACAAAGCAAGACCCTGCCTCAAAAAAAAAAACCAAAAAAAAAAAACTAACTAAAAAAAAGAATCAGCAGGACTGTGAGAATGAAATTTGAGAAGGAGGAAGAATCGTGAGATGAGCTCGGGTGGGCCGAGGAGCCAGGCGGGGGGCTTCTCAGTTTGGACAGGAAGAGCACAAGGTCAGCTGGGTGGAAACCACCGGCTGTGCTGGCCACTGAGTGGACACGGGAGGTGTTGGGGAAACACGAGACGCTGCTGGAGTCTGCAGCTGGTGAGGCTGAGATGACAGAGGGAGCGTCAGAGGACAAATCTGTGGGAAACAACGCCTTTCTGAAAGAAGATAAATGTGAGGTGCTGAGGAAAACTCACATGAAGATATTTAGTGAACATAAGCAGGTCTAACTGCAGAGATCAGATGGGGGTCAGTGAGAAGCAACACTGGGGAGCCCGGCTCCGGGGCCGTAAGCTGCCCTCGCAGCACTGCTTTTGCTGGGTCCAAAACTTCCATGTGTTGGGTTTCATTTTCACTGGGTTCAAAGTATTTTCTAATTGTTGTTCCCCCAGAGATGAAAATGTAAGGCAGAGAATTGTATGAGATCTCCCAGGGAGAGGAAACAGAGGATGGGGTTGACGGCAGAGCATTGAGGAATGCCTACAAAGAGGGGCAAAAAGCAAAAGCCAAGCTAGAGAAAGAGACGAGAATCCGAGGTGTGGAGCGGCTGCACCTGCCCTCCCTCCACAACAGATCGTCCCGTGGGAAGCTGGGCACTTGGCCATCCAGGAACGCTTCCATGCCTCCCTGGCAGCAAGTGCGACTAAGCCCTGGCCCAAGGCCTGTGCTACCTCCAGGAAGTGTCCTTAGAGAGGGGCATGCACCAATCTTTGCTCTTCCTGCTGGCTGGAAAGCAGATGTGATGGCTGACACAGCCGGCTGGAGCCAGGAAGTAGTAGTCTCCATAAGGAAGGCCTGGCCCTCATCACTGGAAGACGACACAGAGGGGTCTGAGTGCTGATGATGGGGGTGCTGCCATCTCAGTGGGAGCTACTCACATCTGGGAAAGGCAGAAATGCACTTCTATCCTATTTCAGTCACTGCAGCCATATTATTTCGAGATCTCTGTCACTAAGCAGCAGGATCTTATCATAACTACTAAAAAGGAGCAGAAATGAGAAATTCTAGGAGCCAGAGGAGGTAGGCTGGAAACTCAGAGACGCTTGCCTCAGACAGGGCGACCGGGGGTCAATGTGGAACTCTGAGACAGCTGTGTGTACGCGTGTGTGTACACACATGGAGGGGCTCAAGAAACTGAGACAAAGGCTTTCATGACCTGCTGCAGGGCTGGCACCACACCAAGTCACCTCCAAATCCTACGTCTTCCATTTGTAAGATGGAGAAACTCAAGTTCAGAAGGTTTTGATTAGTTTCCCAAGGTCAGGTTCAACCACTGGTCACCTCAGTCTCCCGGCTAGACCGCAGCCATCTCACGCGGTTACAGTGACACACCATCAACACAGCTAGAGAGAGAACCAGTGCCTACTACGTTCACGGTATCATTGAGTTTTAAAGACTGTTTAGAAATATTACAGAAATATCAAAAACAATCATAAATAACATAAATATAAATCCTATAGAAATGATAGGCCTTCCACAGTTCTTAGCTAAATTAAAATCATTTTAATGTGAAACAGAATAACATTTTTAAAAACTTTTAATTGGTAACAGAAAACTGTTAATACAGCAACAATGATCACAATCAATAATAAAAACAAGCTTACCTCAGCAGTCAGGAGTCTTTTTGGACATCTGTTAAGTGTGGCAAAAACATTCCTAAGTCCAGTCTCCAGTTGTGTCAGCAACAATATGGCGCAGTCAGCAAACCTATGAAATTGAAGGGAAAAGAGGTAAAACTCCACATTTCAAAAATAAATATTAGGCCAGGTGCAGTGGCTCATGCCTGTAATCCCAGCATTTTGGGAAGCCAAGGTGGGAGGATCGCTTGAGGCTAGGAGTTCAAGACCAGCCTGGGAAACCCCATCTCTACAAAAAATTTAGAAATTAGCAGAGTGCAGTGGCACTGCCTGTAGTCCTAGCTACACAGGAGGCTGAGGCGGGAGGATTGCTTGAACCCAGGAGTTCAAGGCTGCAGTGAGCTATGACTGTGCTACTACACTCTAGCTTGAGTGACAGACTAAGACTCTCTAAGTAAAAAACAAGCAAAAAACAAAAATAATATTGACACCAACATCACAATAACTGCTGCAGTCTAGATATCAAAAGCAAAGAGAAATGATAATACTTGCTAATACGAGAAGCAAAACAGAACCAGCTGGGCGCAGTGGCTCAAGCCTGTAATCCCAGCACTTTGGGAGGCTGAGGCGGGCAGATCACATGAGGCTAAGACTTTGAGACCAGCCTGACCAATGTGACGAAACCCCGTCTCTACTAAAAATACAAAAATCAGCCAGGCGTGGTGGTGCATGCCTATAGTCCCTGATATTTGGGAGGCTGAGGCACAAGAATCACTTGAACCTAGGAGGCAGAGGATACAGTGAGCTGAGATCACACCACTGCACTCCAGCCAGGGTGACACAGTGAGACTCTGTCTCAAAAAACAAAACAAAACAAAACAAAACCACTTACACATAGAACAAAAGTTTCACTAACTAGTGATTTTAAAAACATTTTCCAGTGTTTTAATGTTTGATGAACCATTTTTAGTAGCTTCTACAGAATAAAATGTCATCAAAGGACTGTCTAACTCATTTCATTGCTTCTAGAAAATACTGAGGCTGGGTGCAGTGGCTCACTCCTATAATTCCAGCACTTCGGGAGGCTGAGTCAGGAGGACGATCACTTGAGCCCAGGAGCTCAAGACCAGCCTGGGGAATGGACTGAGACCTCATCTCTAGAAAAAGTACAAAAATTAGCCAGGCACAGTAGTGCACACTTACAGTCCTATCTACTCAGGAGGCTGAGGTGGGAGGACTGCTTGAGCCCAGGAGTTCAAGGCTGCAGTGAGCCGAGGTGGCTCCAATGCACTTCAGCCTGGAGGACAGGGTGAGACCCAGTCTCAAAAAGAAAAAAACAAAAATGCACATCCCAGGATTTCAGTGGGTTCTCAAGGCATAAAAATGAATGAATTAGGGTAATATCCTTTAAGGAACTAAAGATCAGCTCACCAGACCTTCTGGTGGCGACCATACATGTGTTTGCTCCTCAGGAAACAGAAACAGAATGTAAGGACGAAGCTGGCTTATCTATGTTTCATGATTCTGAACATGTTTCACTCATTCTAAGACTTCCAGAAAATATTAAAAAGTGGATCCTGAAAAATAATTCTATCACCTGCACCAAAAGGCAATGTTTCCAATATAATCACAGGCGGTCCTTGAAGCGACTCTATGAAGGTGTTTTATTTTCAGGTCTGCTCAAGTCAGTCCAGGTTCTCTTCACTTCTACTCCAACAGCAAAAAGCATCGAAAGTGAAGGGCATCAAGAAAGAATGGCCTCCAACCACTGCAAACCACTCTGCCATGTACCCTTTAGTTACCTGTGTGACTTGAACTTGACCAGTGCAACTTCCCAATATGGTAACATGATTTTTAATATAAAAGCAGATTTCATCATCACTTCTTCTAATACTGAAAGCACCTCATAAGTAACATCTGTAAAATAACACACGGTTTTAAACACAATCATACTGATCAACTGAAAAAAGATGGAAACATGCTGGGGGAGTGATGCCAATGAGCCAACCCCTTTAGGTGGCTGAACCGTGACCCCTGCAGCAGGGGACTTGTTAGAGAGTAGGATTGCCCTGACCAAGGGCCCGAGGTGCAGGTGACCCTTGGAAAGTGGGGCATGGACATCTCTTCAGTGACTTAGGCAACAGTTCAGGATGGACCAACTGAGCACAATGACCAAGAGAAGTAAAACACATTTTCAGAAGGTGTAAAAGACCCTTGATATTACTACAAGTATTTCTGGCATAATGATCATGAGTACAAAGACACAAGAGGTAAAAGGAGGAGAAAATGTACATCATACAACAGCCTGAGGCCACTGTTGCTCATAGTGCATCTGAGGAAGAAAGAGCTCAGCTCACACAGCTGCAACTCCTGTGACCCCCACAACAACCCCAGGGCATGGTGGGAGGAGGCAGGGCTTTGGGTGGTAAAATGTAGGAGGTTCTTCAAGCAACTCTGAAAGCCATCCGACTACTGAAGAACAACTACTTCACCCCACCTCAAGAGTGCACCTCTTAATGCTGTTTACTGACTTTGCAAATATCTACGCAAAGCTATAAGGAAAAATGTGAAACATAGTACTTACCAGGAAAAACAATCAAATCCTCGAGGTTTGTAAGAGATATGAAAGAGCGATGTGCCAATGTAAGTTTAGTGTTTTGAAGGTAACTCTTCAGTAACTGACCCAATCCTGCCGTCAACAGTATCATCATTGAACAGTATCTAGGAAATACCATAGAGATCTGTTACAAAAATGTACTCAATCATGCCTATAAAAAGCTTCACTGTGAAAAATACAAATTTAAAATTAAGAAAGCAAAGTTAAATTGCATGAAACTGTCCGATCACGGTGGCTCATGCCTGTAATCCCAGAACTCTGGGAGGCCGAGGCGTGCAGATCAGTTGAGCTCAGGAGTCTGAGACCAGTGTGGGCAACAAGGTGAAATCCTATCTCTACAAAACATACAAAAAAGTTAGGTGGGCATAGTGGCGTGTGCCTGTAGTCCCAGCTACTCAGGAGGCTGAGTCGGGAGGATCACTTAAGCCTGGGAGGAGGAGGTTGTAATGAGCTGAGAATGTATCATGGCACTCCAGCGTGGGTGACAGAGTGACACTCTATCTCAAAAAAAAAAATTGCACAAAATTCTCTCGATGTAGGAATTAGACTGTGCAGTAGTTGGGCAGCACAACAGCACCACAGACACTCTGATGAAGACCCTAATGAAACTCAGGGTCTCCCACCCACCCAGGACGTGAATGGCATAACATCCTTCTGGTGTCACCCCTGAATTGCCTTTGGGGTGTAAGTCACTGAAATTATAACCCAGTCATCACTCTGGTGACTACACTAGTAATATTCAATTTTAGCTTCAAAATCCTATCTCAAAACTCACTTATCTTTCACAAAATCTATTTCCTTCTCATGAAATTCAAAATTTAAAAAACTCTTTGGTAGATCCAAAAAAGGAAGAAAATGTCTTCACTTGCAACTTACTTTGGAGGAATTTCTTCAGGTGACGCAAACCCATGCCATAAGACGTTACGCAGGTTGAGACCACACGGAGAGCCAACGAAGACTTTTAGCACATTCATCTAATCCGCAAATCATTACATAGTTAATTATACTGAATTACTGAATAAACCAATATAGTATGAAGATAACATTTGTGTTCCTCTTTTTAACTGAGAGTCAACAGTTTTGGCTAGTATATAGCAGTAATAATAAAACCAACATTTACTGAGTGTTTAATATGTGCTAGACACATTTTGTACATGTACATCAACTCATTCATCCTAAGAACAACCTATGAGGAAGGTACTATGATTATCCCCAGCATCTAGGTGAAAAAAATACAAGCATGGAAAGGTGAAACCAAGGTCTCAAAGGCTACAAAATCAATATGGGGGATAAGATCTGACCCAGGTTATCCTGCTTTAATAAAGTTGCTTCAAATGTGCATAATATCTAAATAAAATGTAAAAAGACAATGATATGATAAGCAGAAACATATCACTGTATTAAGCAGCACGCAATTGTGTGGTTAAACAGAGGCAGCAGGGCAGATGCCCGAGCAGCATGGCTCCAGGCTTGAGCCTCCACTTCCTAGCTGTCTGACGTGAAGCCCATCACTTATCCACCCCACCATCTATCTACAGAGTGAAGAAAACACCCAACCAGGCGTCCTAATAAATGGACTGCAGTCATGTCATGCCCAGAGAACTGCTTTGGGTTTGAGGCGCCATACTTAGAAGAAACTCAGAACATAATGGAAGATGTTCAAAGACTAAAAGAATTCATGTCATAGGAGAAAGTATGGTTGAGCCTCCAGAAGACTCGAGAAGGAAGTGAACACTGTCTTCATGCATGTGAAAGATGGCTGTTGAGAAGGGAATATGGACGCATTCTGAACTTCCCTCAAGGGGAAGACCCAAAACCAGGAGGTGGAAATGATCAAGAGCAGTTCTACTGAATGTTGGAACATTTAACAAGCAGTTCTTCTATGCAACTTCAGGAGATCTTTTTGCTCTACCAATAATTTGTGAAATACTCATGGTTCACACTATCTGGTCAATCAGATGTATAAATGCCAGTGACCTGGCAGCTGAAGGGGCCACAAGTGGGCAGAAGGCCCATCACATATAAGCAAGTACCAAAGAACAGATCGAAGAAACAAAATGTGTTTGAGAATTCAGTGTAACAAGAGGTTTGTACTTTTTATCTTCATTCCATGCACTCCACAAAAGAAAATGATCTTTAAGCGGACAAGGAGTAAAGATCCACAGAAAAGAATGGAAAAGCTCCACTGAAGACAGATTTCTTTACTCCAAAAATCATCTAGCACCCTGGCTTGGCAAGCACAGCTTCCACACAAGGCTCTTCTGGGTTTCTCCATCTTGACCCTGCCTCAATCAGCTGCCTAAGGTTATTCATTAGTCCTAAGTCTCTTGATCATGTGCCCTTTATGAGATTTTAATATAGTATAGTAACTGCATGATTTTTTTAACATCTGAATTTTTTTCCACTGTAAGTTTAAATGGTTTCAAAAGATAATTTCACGTTAAAATTTTCAAATAAAACTGTATTATCACTCATTTAAAGGGTTAAAGTTGTATTCTGGATTTAGTATTATAGTTATTAATATGTAATTGATCGAGGCAACATGCTTCACATTGGCCCTGTGGTGCCCCAGAGTTATTCACACTCGGGATAGGAAAGCTTTCTATGTGCTGGAGGAGGGGCAATTTTGAAAGGGAAGGTGGGAAGGGAGAATATGCTTGAATCACTGATACAATTTTTCCCTAAAGCATCATCAGTTTGGGAAGAACAAAAGCTCAGCATATGTGAATTGTTGTTTTGCACTTACTCCGTGATATGGTTTGGCTGTGTCCCCACCCAAATCTCAACTTGAATTGTATCTTCCAGAATTCTCCCATGTTGTGGGAGGGACGCAGGGGGAGACAGCTGAATCATGGGGACCGGTCTTTCCCGTGCTATTCTCATGATAGTGAATAAGTCTCATGAGATCTGATGGGTTTATCAGGGGTCTCCACTTTTGCTTCTTCCTCATTTTTCCCTTGCTGCCGCCCTGTTAGAAATGTCTTTCTCCTCCTGCCATGATTCTGAGGCCTCCTCAGCCATGTGAAACCGTAAGTCCAATTAAACCTCTTTCTCTTCCTAGTCTTGGGTATGTCTTTAACAGCAGCATGAAAACGGACTAATATACTCCATGAGTTTAGATGAACAAGCTTACCACAGACTGACTGAAGACTTGAGCAAGCTCCTCAGATGAAAGCAGATCTCTTAAAAGAAAGGGGCATTCCTTCCCAATCAGTAAAAATACCTAAAATTCAAACAAAAATTGTGTAACAGTTGTATTATGAGCCAATAAACATTAAAAACATTATCCATGAAGCAACTGTTTGTACAAATGAAGGGTGAAAAGTACTTAGACACCAATCCTTTGATTTCATAATCATTCAAAAGGGAAATATTAAAAATTCATACTAAATGATTTTATCTTATAGGAAAATAATCAAGAAAACTGAGGACAACTGTAAAATAGTTTCATGTTCATTCAGATAATTTAATGGGCCAATAATGAAAGAGTTCTCACACTTACATCACCCAAGGCTCGTTCTAGACACGATGTCAGTTTCATTAAGCTAAGAGAAATAGCAGGAGATTGTAGACTTTCCAAGGCATCAAATATTTCAGGAAATAACTATTTACAATAAAACACATATTAGGATGTACACTCTGAAACTACTTCTCAAAGCAACAATATTATTTATTGAAATTCAAACCTCGAGAGATTTCAACTGCCATATTTTATTTTCAGTGAATAAGTAAACATTTTCTGTATAATTATATTGCCTAAAGAATCAATAAAAATATTTTAATAGCTAAAGAATTCCTTGAAGGTTCTTTATTTAAACGTTTATTGAAAGCAACAAATCTGGCACAATTTAAGTGGAAAAGTCAAGCATTTTGACCTCCATCATGTTTCTCCTTTTGATTTGGCTGAGCCCTCAAACAGATACACACAAGGCACTCATCCTGCCATTTAAAAGTGCTAGTACAAGGGGGACATGATGATTCCTTCACTCCAAATTCAAAGCAGAATTAGATTTGTTATAGTTACTGCTTTACTGGGGTCATTTAGTGTGCCAAATAAAATGAAGAAAAACTGACCAAAAAAACAAATGAAAACAAGATTTTGGGTTAGGCCCCAAATTACCCATACTCCCTTCAGTTCCCCATTAACAAACCAAGTATCCCAGCTCTGGTCTCCAGGCCCCACTGTCTTAGAACACCTCAATACCTCTCCACAACGCCTTATTCTGGAGTAGTAAATTTTTCCTCTATCCTTGGATGGGCACCGTGTGACAAATGTTAGCTCTCCAACCCCTAATCCTGTGATAATGAATTCAAAACCTTCCTGTGTTCCAAGGGGCATGTTTCTCAGCTCAGGCTTTGGAGACCCTGCATAATAGCCCAGGGTTCTCTTACAACCCTCAACACTTCACCGCTGGAGGGCCTGGGGATGAAGGAGGCCCCTTTAAAATTGGCAAATAGTACGTCCTCTAAGTAGTATTCGCACAGTCTTTTATTTCTAAAGGTTGTTCAAAAGCCAAACCTCTGGAAAACTTGTCCACTGGAACCACGGTGCATATCGAATTTCAAATTGCCCCTTGGTCAGAGATAAGAAATGTGAATGGACAGCCTCACACACAGGGCCCAGCAGCCTCACGCTTCCCCAGTAATCCAGACCCTGCTCTTAAAGGATAAGAAAACAAATTTCAGCACCATAGCTCCATATCACATGATATAAAATATCTACATCATCAAAGAAAAAAATGCTTTAATTATAAAATTTCCACAAAATCAACAATTAGCTTACCATTGAACATATGATATACTTTTATATTGTTGGAAATAAATCACATAATGCTTATCAGGTTATGAAAGAAAAATATACTATCAGCAGAGAATTTAGAAAATACAAAAAGTTTCAAACAAGAGAAAACTATTTTGTCAATGTCTTTACCTGTACATAAGAATACAGAAAACCAGGCTCACATTGTATATGTAATTTCGTAACCTGATTTTTTTTTTAATTAAACCAGGCTCACACTGTATATACAATTTTGTAACCTGATTTTTTTACGTTAACGTTATTAGGCTGAGATTTCTAATGGCAATGAATTGTTTTAAACATATTTATAATATGAAGTTTTTGTTGTTTTAATTTTTTTTGATAAGTTTGGGATTAACCATCTACTTGGTTCCTGATCAATGAATACCAAAGGGTAATTACAAATACATGCCCCTCCTATTCTTTTTCCAACTTAGCTCAGAGACTTCTGTATAAGATGAGCCTCCTCATTCTTTTCTACCACTGCATAATATTCCATTATATGAATTTATCATAATTTACTGAACCAATCCCCTACTGCTTGATGTTTGGCTGTTTATTTATTTAGCTATTATAAACAATGCTGCAAGGAATAACCTTGCACACACACATTTTCATATCTGTATCTGTCTTAAGGATTCCTGAAAACGGACTGCTAGGCCAGAGTATGTTCATCTGTAATTTTTATAACTATTATTAAATTTCCCCACCTATATCTCTGCTCCAAAGTGTGCAAGAATGTCTAGAAGACACTTAAAATAACTGTATAATCTATTACTGGTCATTTTCTACCCTTAATTCACATGACTCCTACAGAGAATCATCTCAAGGCCCTGAGATCTACATCATCAACAGCCCACCAGCCCCTCTGTGCCTCCTGACACCTCCTCTGTAGAGGTGGTTTTCTTAGCCCAGCTTTCCATTAACTTTTCCATGCTTCTCTGGCCTCATTCCCTCTCTTTTCACATTGATTCCTGTTCTCCTTGGAGTTAGGCCTGTATTATAACATTATCTAACAAAAGGAACCAATGGTCAGAAAGGGGAATTTTACAGGTCAAGACATTTTCAATGGGACAGTTATGAAAGTTTGGAGTACAAAGACAGCACAAACCTGACTCTGTGTAGCTCACACAGTCTGTGATTGTTTTCCAGCATACTTCACCATTCTGAGTTACAATGCTATTGATATCACAATTTTCTCTGAGTTGAAACCCAAGATTACAAATTATATCATACACTGAGGGAGAAAGACATGTGGTAATAGGGTCCCCTATTAATACCTAAAAAATAAAATAAAATAAAAGGCACTGCTTAACAGAAAGAAAAATAGAGTATTATATATTTCAGACACATCTCTTAAGAACTGAATGCACTCAGGTATAGTTGCTGTTAACATGCTTTCTGGATATCGTGAGAGCTGTATGATTAAAACATAGTGATTAAATATTAAAGATAATTTACATAAATGTTCTCAAATATGATAAAGGCTTAAAGACCTAAAATTATCAATCATAATATTTGCAAACTGCTCTGTCTATGGGGTAGCCATTGTTTATTCCTTTACTTTCTTAATAAACTTGCCTTTCACTTAAAAAAAAAAAAGAAAAAATACAAGTTCACGGAAGCTGAATGTGTTTTACGACCAGAGCATTATTGCTCTCAGCATTCCTTCACTATCCCAGAGTTATCAAAATAAGCAATTTTTTTAAATGGGGAATGGGAGAGCAGAAACCAAGTATAACGAACAAGAAGGAAAAAGAACCCCACGTACCTCTGACTACCTAAACGGTGTTGAAGAAAACCACAATGTCATCCCAAAACATGCCTCTTCGATATAAAAACAACAACAAATTTGAGCTGAAGACAAGAGGCAGCAAATGAAGGAAAAGCTCTCTCTATCCTCCCCCTCTTCCGCCCAAAGACAGGATATAAATTCTTTACTGGGGATAACTTTAGACTTACCAGACCAGTTAAGGTACCAGGGGAATCTGCAAACAATTCTTACTCCATTAGTTTCCGAATATGTATCTACCTTCCCAATTTCCTGCCCTTTGAAGCCTAAAACTGCTCTCCTGTGTCCTGTCACTTCTCTGCAAATCTACAGTTCTTTGTTGAAGATGGTATACAAATGTAGTTCTAAGCCACCATTTCAAGTTACTTCTCATTAAGGTTTATCCCTTGTGATGTGTACTCTGTCCAAGAATAAACTTTTTTCTTGTTATCCTTTCATTTGTTAAAGGGGTCACTCCGAACTAAGATGGGCAGAGGTAAAGTTTAGCCTTCCCTGCCATGTAAAAAGTAGCAAACCGTACTGGTTTTCCATGGAGAATTAAATACAATCGAAATCCTCACAATTACCCCACATGACACTAAGACCATCGTATAAACCTGCAAAGAAGTCAAATTCAGGATCTAAAGCGGAACCGAAGCTCTTTATTTTGGTGTGTTGAGTTAAGGGGGGGCTGTGTTGTGACAGTCATAATTAGCTCTGGGCAGCTTCCTAATGTGGAAACTGCTATCAGTTGCCCTGTTTGCTCCTCCTGCACCCAGAAGTTGCACTTTCCACTCTCAGCCCTGGTTTTCGAACAATCCCAGCAGGCCCTAACAATTAAGTCATCACTAAAGAAATCTACATCAACTATTTGTTGATTGGCGATTGTCACTCGCATCCTCCATGTGGCTCTATGGGGCTGGAACTCTGCAGACTACACTGGGCCGGTGCTTTGGAGCTGGACTTAAATTTGAATCATTCCTCAGCCTCTGACTACCTCTTGCCTTGGAAAAGTTACTTTATCGGAATCTCAGTTCTAAGTGAAATAAAACGGTGCCAGGCTGCACCTGGTAGGGCTACAGTAATCAGATAACACATGAAAAGCATCTAGCACATAGTACTCAAAAATGGTAGTTATCGTTATCATCATTTTGGAGACGGGGTCTCGCCGTCGCCCAGACAGGGGTGCAGTGGCGCGATCTCGGCTCACTGCAGCCTCCACCTCCTGGGCTAAAGCGATCCTTCCACCTCAGCCTACGGAGTAGATGGGACCACAGGCCCCACCACGCCCGGCGATGAACACAAATTTACTGTCCGAGTGTGGACCCTACAGGCAGCGACTAGGAAACTGCGCTTCTAGGAACGAGCCACGGTCAGGTGAGAGCCCGACCTGCGGCTTTCCGCCCCCGCGCCACCGCGCACAGCCCTCCCTGACCGTCCGCCGCGTTCCAGCTCAGGGCCAGGAGGCGACGGAGAAACCGAGCCTGGCCCAGGGAGGCCGGCAGGGCCCGCCAGGCGTCTTGCAGGGCCGAGCGTCCGATACCGCCACAGAGGCCAGGGCCGCGACGTCGCCAGCGCCCTCCAGCGCGGGACCGCCGGCCACCGCAGGCGCGTGCTCGCTCGCCCACTCCGCGTAGCCGAGCACCACCCAGCCTGGCGCCGACTCCCTGCCTAGCTCGGGATCGAACCGGGCCCTACACCCGCCCTACCTCCATAACTTCCGGTGCCCCGCTGCGGCGCGCGTGAATGACGCAGGCGCCTGCGCGCCCCTCCTCCAGGCGCTTTGGAGCCCTGGCGGGCACTTCCTACCGTACGAGGCGCAGGTGGGAGACTTCCGCCCTCGCGGGACTGGCTAGGGCGTTTGACCGCCGGCGGTGAAGGGGAGGCGGTGGGCGTCTTGGAGAACAGAGCGAGATGGAGAAGCGAGGCCGAGGCGTGAAGTCGAGCCCCATCCAGACCCCGAACCAGACCCCTCAGCAGGCTCCGGTGACGCCTAGGAAAGAAAGGAGGCCTAGCATGTTCGAGAAGGAGGCAGTGAGTGCGGAGACTGCTAGGGGCCCGAGACGGCTATGTCCGACCGTTTAAGTGAAATCGCTCCCCAGTGGGCCCCGCTCCCGTCACCACCCCCAGAGCCAAGGAGGCAGCATCTCCCTTTTGTGTTTCTTTTTTCCCCAGATGCGAAATTGAAGCCTGAGACTGAGTTGGGCAGTCCCCTTTGGACTTGAGTGCTAAAGTTTTCTTGTTTTTTAATTAGGGCCATAGAACCCTACATAAGTCGATTGGAAGGGTGGTTACAAGATCTTCTTTTCAAATTTACTCAGCTTGCGGATTTCCTGAGAGTACTCTGAGTATTATTGCTTTGTACTAAAACACAGTATGTTAGTGTATTTAGTGCCATTATAAGCAGTTTTGCTAGCGAAAAATGAGTGTGTTGTATTAAAAAAATAATTTGATAAACCAGGCAGAATAGTGCCATGTTTTGGGTTTTTAAAACATCAGCAGTCTGGATATTTGAAGAATGTACAGGAGAAAAAAACTTAAGTTGAAAATACCCTGTCCAAAACTTACTGATATTGATGGAAAGGGTCATTATTCAGTTTTATTGGTGGTATAACAGGTATTTCTATATGATTAGGCTTTGAAAACCGTTAATGTATTAAAGACTCTATATTTTATTGATACTTTAACAGAAAATTAGTTTGCCCAAGGATACAAAGCTGTAATGATAGAGCTGGGACCAGAACCTGTATGCTAGTACTCGGTCCAATTGGCCTATACTGGTTTCTCTTCGTACTTACTTCGTGGACCTATAATAGGATGAAGATAGAGATGACAGGCAAAACAATTTTTTGAAGACCCTAAAACATTTTAAGATTACTCTTAAAAAGAGAATTCTCAAAATAATGGCGAAATTTCAGGTTCTTGTTTCCCTGGTGTCTACATTTTACAGAGGAAAGAACGAACTAAATAAAGGAGGAAAAGCAAACAGGCCAAGTTTACACAGCTAAGAAAAAGAGCAGAGCAGGGCTAGAAACCTAAATCAGTTGGACTTAAAACTTCACACTCCCAAACACTATGCTGTATTTCTTGGCAATGAGTCTGAGTAACAGGTCACCAACAGTAAAGAAAAATTTCTATATATTGAGGCAGACAAGGGTGGCTTTTATAAACTTACTGCCTATCTGAGGTCTGAAGTGGTCTTTAAAATTCAATGAGCCTGAACTCAAAATGAGGAGACACATAGGTGCACCTGGTATATAGGTTAAAATCTGGGAGTGAGGGGACATGGACCAAAGTAATTATTAGTATTTGATATGGATGTGATCAATTATAGCTATCTTTAAAGTTGATTCTTTTAGAGGTGAGAAATTTGAATAGAACAATAATTGGGAAGAAATTGAGAAAGGACTCTACAAATGCTCACTAAATGTACCTGAGGAAACTGTTCACTTAGTTATTTCTAATTTAAGGTAGCTGTTAATTTCCCTATTTTGGAGCATAGGAAAATTTAAGACATACTGTTTCATCAATATGACCATCTCTTGATTTTATCTGTCTTGCCTCCATTTCTTTTTTTCTAGTGGTAGCACCTCAGTTAACTTTTAGAGAATTAACTCATCTGCAATTGTATAGAGCTTTGGTGAGATTGTCAGCTACTTCCCTTAACTTTTTAATAAGGATGAGACCCAAACTAAGCTAATTAGATGAATTCTTTGAAATAATGCAAAGAAAATGATTGAGGTTTATTCACATTGAAGATGAGAAGCTAAAGTGTTCCCTGTGTCTTTCTGAATCTGGTTCATCAGCCTTCTCTGCTGTTATGTAAACTGTATCTTTCCAATAAATTATACTTTGGCTTAACACGAATGAGTTCCTGTTGTTGCGATCAAAGGTAACAAAATGCGAAGTAGATTACTAAAATTGGAAAACGTGATTGTTCTCACTTGTGCACATGCATTGAAATTCTTAAATACAGCCGGGTGCAGTGGCCCATGCATGTAATCCCCACTTTGGGAGGCCAAGGCGGATGGATCACCTGAGGTCAGGAGTTCAAAACCAGCCTGGCCAACATGCCAAAACCCCGTCTCTACTAAAAATACAAAAATTAGCCGGGCTTGGTGGTAGGCACCTGTAATCCCAGCTACTCAGGGAGGCTGAGGCACGAGAATTGCTTGAACCCGGGAGGAGGAAGTTGCAGTGAGCCGAGATCATGCCACTGCACTCCAGCCTGGGCAACAGAGTGAGACTCTTGTCTCAGAAAAGAAAAAAAAAATCTTAAACACTAGCATGTGGCATTTAGAAATAAAAGTAATATCTCCTGCCCAAGCTCATTTTATTTTAGGGCTATATGTAGGCTCAATATAAGGAAATGCTATATCAGTAGAAACTCAGGTATTATTAGATGCCAAAAAGTTGATCATATTTAAAGCCTATTCCCAATTTAAAAAAGATTATAAAGATTCTTAATAAAAGGAATAAAATACTCTTAATAAGTATAGCAAGTCAGCCAATATTATACACAAAGGAGAAATGGTACAGATGTAAATTTTCAGCATATTAGAAGCATTAATGGTTATTTTCAGGCCACACACGAATGCCCCATTTCCTTAAGAATCATTGCAGTTGAAAGCCGCTGTTAATGATACTATGTAGTTGCATCCCTTGAGTATATTGTGGAGGAAAGGAAGGTCCCAATCACTGCCTTAGAGAAGCATTCTCTTAATAAACAAGAACAAAATGATTTTGTTTTTAAGAGGTTTAGGGAGCTAATAATGCTGCTTTTGCAGTTAAGAGACACAGAAGCCTGACAGATGATCACAAGAAGAGATTTATTTATGTGAGGGACTTCTACTCGCAGCCAATATGGAGTAATTCTTATCAGAAACTACTTAAAGTAACACACAAAAATGTATGGAACAATTGTTTCCATTGATTTAGGTGTCAGGCAGGACGAGAGTGATTTCCAAGAGATGAGAAATAGGTAAGGTGAACCCCAATATTGCCCCCACCTTAATTGCCTGGTGAGAGTTTCCAGGCTACAACACAAGGAAAGGCCTCCTTTATTTCAAAAGGAGTTAGGAGCCTGGGAAGCCAAGGTAGCATGAGACTGGAGAGCAGAGTATTAAGACAGGGATGCACAAACCGCCCCAAAGACCTACAGAGGGTTTCCCAGAATATTCAGCTGAGTGCAGCAGTGCATCTGGTGAGGAAGCTTCTCACCAAAGGTGGAGAGTGGAGGTGGAGAAAGAATCACCCAAAAGGAACAGAAAAAAAATCCTTGGACATGTTCCCACCAGAAAAAGTGGAAAATCATGAAAAATACAGGGCTTTGGTTAGCGTGCTAAGACGTGTATTGCCTCAGTAGTGGGAAAAAATAGAGAACAAGTTCTCTGATCTGGCTTATCAAGGTTGAGAAGCAAGGCTAAAGAGGATTAAACTGTTTCCAAATGTCTTTGTTCTAGAAGAAAGCTCAAGAGTCTTAGGAATACAAAAATATCCAGCCTATAAGAAGGTAAAATTCACACTGTCTGGTCTTTAAATATTAATAGACCTACAGAAAAGCACGAAAATAAAGTTCAAAATTGAAGAAGCAGTAAAAACAGCCCAGAAATTACACAAAAATAGAATTAGTATAAACAGACATTAAAGTAGTTAAGAGAGTTATTAGTTTTCGTCAAATTTAATCATATGAAGTTATTATAATTACATTCCATATATTTAAGAGTGTAGAGAAAGACTGAGCATGTTAAATTCAAATTGAACTTCTGTAGATGAAAAATACTATGTCAGGGATGAAAATACACTAAATGGTATTAACAGCAGATTCAACAGTGCAGAAGAAAGGACATTTAGAGATGTGGAAATTGGGGGGGATGCTGAAAAAATATTACACGATGTCAATGAGCTTTGACAGAACTTAAAGTTGCCTAACGTTCTTATAATTTGAGTCCCCAAAGAGGTGAGAGAGGACAGACAAAAAGTACTGGAAGAAATAAGGAATGAGAAATTTTCAAATCTGTTGAAAACTATAAACCCACAAATCTAAGAGGCTCAGTGAACTCCAAGCACAAGACACATGAAGAAAATTATGCCAAGACATAGAATAATAAAATTGCTTGAAACCAGTGACTTAAAAATTTAAAGGCAACTAGAACAAAGGAACGTTACACACATAGAAACAGACAAAATGACAGCATACTTCTCAGAAACAATGCAAGACAGAAGACATCGAAGCATCATCTTTAAGGATTGAAAGAAAATGACTAACAACCTAGAATTCTATACTCAGCTAAAATATCGTTCAAAAAGCAAAGGTAAGACTTCCAGCTTCCTTAAAGTCCCTACTATGTCCTAACAAGTAAAAAGCTGAACAAACTGAAAAAAGTGAGGTCACAGGACAAACTGCTGCCCCCAAAAGTAGATTAACAAGCAGCAGTTTGCTCTGTGACCTCACTCCAGCCCTCCTTAGCCATCCTGTGTGACTTAAGCAAGTAGGGAAAAAAACAAAAAACTCAGAAACATATGTGAAGTTCACAGTCCAGAAGCACAGGTTCACTAAAATACCTAGTCATACAACTACAGAATGCTTCCTCTCCGTTAATACATTACCAGCACATTGCCAGAGGCCTTGTTAACAGCAGTTTCTTTACCTGGTGAATCATGTCTGGCTATCAGGAAAAAAATTAGGCATACTAAAAACAACAACAAACACACAGAGTGAGCAGCAGAACCAGACATGGCAGGGATGTTGGAATTATCACAATTTAAGTAACTATGATTAATATGTTAAAGGGCTGTAGTTGACAAAATAGCATGCAAGAACGGATGAGCAATGTAAGCATAGAAATGGAAATCCTAAGAAAGAACTAGAAATGCTACACATCAAAAAACACTGTTACAAAAGAAGAAATCTCAAATTTAAAAAATATTTTGAGCTAAATAAAAATGAAAACATACCAAAATTTGTAGAGTGCAGCAAAAATGGGTTGGAAGGAAATGTATAGTATTGAATGTGTGCATATATTAGAAAAGAAGAAAGAGCTAAAATAAGCCTCAAAGAAACTAGAAAAAGAAGAACAAATTAAATCCAAGAAGAAAAGAAATAATAAAAATTATAGCAGAAATTGATGAAATTGAAATCAGGTACCAACAAAACCAAAAGCTTTTTCTTTGAAAAGATCAATAAAATCTATAAGCCTCTATGCAGGCTAAGAAAGAGAGGACACACATTACTAATAGCAGAAATGCAAGTCAGGATATTGCTAGAAATTACATGAACACTATAAATATAATGAAAGAATATTATGAACAATTCTGTGCCCAGAAATTTGATAACCTAGATGAAATGGACCAGTTCCTTGAAAGATGCAATTTCCCAAAAGTCATACAAAAAGAAATAGATAATCTGAATAAGCATATATCTGTTTTTAAAACTTGAATCAATAACAGCCTTCCAAAGCAGAAATCACCAGGTTCAGGTGATTTCCTTGGTGAATTCTACCAAGCATTTAAGGAAAAAGTTATATCAATTATTACAATCTCTTTCAGAAGATAAAAGCAGAGAGAATACTGTCTAACTCATTCTGTGAAGTCAGCATTACCCTAATACCAAAGGCAGACAAAGATGCTACAAAAAAAGCAAATTACAGACCTGTATCATGTATTAACACTGATGCAAAAATTCTAAACGAAATACTAGCAAACTGAATTCAGCATTTTATTTAAAGGATTTGACACCGAGGCCAAGTGAAATTTGTTCCTGGAATGCAAGGATGGTCCAACATATGAAAATCGATCAAGGTAATACACCACATTAACTAAATGAAATAAACCACATGATAAATCTCAATTGATGAAGAAAACTATATGTCAAATTCAACACTCTTTTATTATAAAAACACCCCAAAAACTAGAAATAGGAGGAAACTACTTCAACCTAATAAAAGCTCTATATGAAAACTGCACAGCAAATGCTGGGTGCAGTGGCTCATGTCTGTAATCCTAGCATTTTGGGAGGCCAAGGCAGGTGGATCACGAGGTCAGGAGATCAAGACCATACTGGCTAACATGGTGAAACCCCGTCTCTACTAAAAATACAACAACAACAAAAAAATTAGTTGGGAGTGGTGGCATGCACCTGTAGTCCCAGCTACTCAGGAGGCTGAGGCAGAAGAATAACTTCAACCTAGGAGGCAGAGGTTGCAGTGAGCCAAGATCGCGCCACTGCACTCCAGCCTGGGCGACTGAGCAAGACTGTCTCAAAAAAAAAAACAAACAAAAAAAACTTCACAGCAAACATCATACTCGATGGGGAAACACTGAAAGCTTTTCCTGTAATATTAGTAACAAAGCAAGGATGTCCACTTTTGCCACTTCTTTTCAACATAGAGCTGGAAGTTCTAGCCAAGCAATTAGGCAAGAAAAAGAAATTCCTGGCTATTAATAAAATGAAGCTTACTGCTTTAACTTAAGAGGTTAGAGCATTTATCTGGGACATATTGGGCACTAAGCAAATATTTCATTAATGCATATTGGATGTCACAGAATGGATGTTTCATGTCAAAAGCATGAACTGATATATATATCAAATCAATGCTCTTTTGGTGTCTTTTCACCTTAAGACTTACGAATGTGCTATCTAAATAATTGTATTATTTAAAAATAAGTAAATGAAGTAAAATAAAATTTTAAGACAATGAAGGATAATATTTTCATAATCTCAGGGTAGGGAGGAAGAAAGGTTTTCCCTATATCTCCATCCCATAGCCACTCAGTTGCCCTCCCTGGAGGCCACTCTTGTTTCTAGTTCCTTTGGATCATCCATGGATATTCTAAATATATGCATGCAATTTGTATGTATATGTTTGTGAGTATAGATAAAAGAATAAATAGTATTCCTATTTTTTTTTGCCAAATTGATAGCCAGGAGTGAATCTAGGATTTAGCAACCACATTATTGTAGAAATCTGTTTAACAAATTTCCAAGCTTTGTGTGAGCCCTGTCCCACTGTACAGGCTTATTTAATCTGAAAACTCATTTACAGTTTAAAAAGTAATCTTTCTGCCTTTCTCTCTTCCCCTCTCTCTTTCTCCTCCAGTATACACAGATTTTAAGAGAAAGACTGAGAGAGTCAATTCACAATGTTCAGTATGTGGAGCCTCCTTTTGATGACTCAATTGCTGATATAGGTAAAGAATGGAAGAGTGCCCTGGCAAAATTAAAGTTTGCTAATTCATATAGAATGGAGCCATTGAAGAAATTCCAAGCTCATTCAGTAGAAACTAAAGTCCAGCAGATACTAACAGTAGGTTGATAAATATATATGATAGCAGTATTGTATGAGGGTTCTACAGAGAAACAGAAATTATATATACGAAGAAATTTATTCCAGGAATTGGCTCATACAATTGTCACTAGAACCAGAAGGTATTGTGTCATTGGTGCAGGCACAACAAGTTAGTTAATCAGAGATGTGTAGTCTGTCTGCTAGGTGTCCAGTTCTGCTCCTGGTTTGTAAGAGTAATGCTTTATAGTCCACAAGCCATGTCCATTTCCTTCAAGCTATACATTAATTTATTAATAAACATGGTTAGAAATCTTTGATTTCATTTTCCTGGAGGCCAGAGAAAAATTAGTGGAGTGAGAGACTAGAGGGGAGGGCTGGAAAGAAGTAGTTTTAATATGAGCCCACTGAGCAGGGCAGTGACTTGGTACAGGTTCTGAGTCCAAGTAATCTTCAGTATAAGAAAACCAAAATCTGAATTTTAATAAATGTATAAATTTAAAAAGGTTTCTTTCCTTTACCTAAGAATTTCCTTTACCTTCTAGAAGTCTTCTTTAGAAAATCTCCTTGTGTCTATTAACTGTTTGGCAGAGTAGTCTAGTAAATTACAACTTACAGCTTGTATCGCTAATGAAAAGTAATTGAATATAATTTGAAAACCCCAATAAATATTCCTCAAAATTGTTACTGAAATAGGTAAGCATAAAATTTATTTAATATTATTTAGTTAGGAATATATTTATTTTAAAACAGTTATATATATATTATTTAGACATGTTTTCTACTTGAATTTTTATATAGAAAATATTTGGTTTGAAAATAAAAGTATTTTTCTTAAATTTTCTTAAAGGAAAGTCTTAAAGATGTCAAATATGATGATAAAGTATTCTCTCACTTGTCACTTGAATTGGCAGACCGCATACTGTTAGCAGTCAAAGAATTTGGGTACCACCGTTATAAGTTCATTATAAAAGTATTATTTATTCAAAAGACTGGCCAAGCAATAAATGTAAGTACCCCATTGATACAGGATCTAGCAATTAGAACTATAAGGCATCTCCTCCCTAGTGATTTGATTTTTATTGTGATGACTCAAGGGCATGCCATAGATTCTGAGGTACTTTTTGAAGGAAAGTATCATGTTGTTAAGTATATTTATTTCACTGTAAATTATTTGAAAAGTACAAACCAGCTGGGTTCGTTGGCTCATGCCTGTAATCCCAGTAGTTTGGGAGGCTGAGGCAGGTGGATCACCTGAGGTCAGGAGTTTGAGACCAGCCTGGCTAACATGGTGAAACCCCGTCTCTACTAAAAATACAAAAATTAGCTGGGCATGGTGGTGGGTGCCTGTATTCCCAGCTACTCGGGAGGCTAAGGCAGGAGACTCACTTGAGACTGGGAAGCAGAGGTTGCAGTGGCCCGAGTTCGCTCCACTGCACTCCAGCCTGGGCAACAGACTCAAAAAAAAAGAAAGAAAAGTACAAACCTAGAAGTAGCAATTTGGTACTACTAATTTATTAAATTGCACTGCTATTCTGTTCCTTGATCATATCAATTTTGACAGTTTAATGTCATTTAAGTTAACCAGTAAATTTATTTTGGGCACTAATAGGTGTTAGGTACTAAGGAAAATCAAGGAATGATAAAACACGGACCATGATTCTCAAGGAGATTTTACTCTACTTAAGGAGATAAAGCAGCACAATTTAGAATTCAGGGAAATAAAATGATAGGGATAATGTAAACAGCCTGGGTTTTGGAGTCAGATTGCCTCTGCCACACTTGCTGGCTGTGGCCTTGGCACAGTTTCTTCATCTATAAAATGGTGATGATAAAACTGGCTTCCTAGAGCTGTTGTGAAGATTAAATGAAATTATCTGTATTAAAATCCTTAACATAATCACCAGCACAGAGCCCTCAATAAACAGCAAGGTAATTATAAACATTATTTATTAATAAAGAGATAATATCACTAGGCTGTGTAATTATGTAAGGAGTTGGTAAGGAATATGTGGGAGTTGGAGAGAAAAGAGAGAAAAAGCTGTGTTTGGAAGAATCTGTAGAGGTTCCATAGAGGAGTGGACTGCATGATGAAGCATGGGGAGGGGGACCTGGACTGGCAGAGGGGTACTGGCGAGAGAACCGCCAGTCAGCAAGAAAGAACCGTCCTGGCTCCCATGGAGAAGAGAAGCTGCACCACATATGACATACAGACTTAAGAAATAGGGACGTTGTAGATGATAAGTGCTACAAAGAGAACATTAAGGTAGGGATATGACAGAGTAGCAGAGTGGCTACTTGGGATTGTTTAGAGAAGGGAGAACCCTCTGATGTTCAGATAAGAAGGAACCAGCTGTACCAAAGAGAAGGGAGAATGTTCCAAGCAGAGAAAACTTCAAGTGCAAAGATCCTGAGGCAGGGATGACTTGGAGTGCTTGATATGTAACAAGTGTAGCTGGACTAGTAGCTAGTAGATAGTGGCATGATGTGCAGTGGGGGAATGTTTCAGCTTATATTATTGTATAACAAACCACCCCAGAACTGAGTATCTTATAACAACAGCCATGTATTTGCTTACTTTCTGTGAGTCAGCTCAGCCTGGGTCAGCTACTTGGCTTTTCTGCTGGTCTCACTGATGCACTTGTAGCCCTCTAATGACTTACCTGGGCCTGCAGGTCCAAGATGGCTTCTGTCACTTGTCTGACTGGTGGGCTAGCTGTGGCCTGGGCACCTGGGTTCTCCTGCATGTGAGCCAGCATCCTCCAATAGGTTGAGTGGGCTTTCATAACATGGGGGTCTCAGCATAGTGTTCCACGAGTGTGAGAGCAGAAGCTACAAGACCTCTGAAGGCCTTGCTTGGAAGTTTCACAGTGTCATATTTTACAACTCATAGCAAGTCACAAGGCCAAGACTTATTCACAGGGTGGGGACATAAAGTCAACTTCCTAATAGGAGAAGCCATAAAGAATTTGGGCCTTTTTCGGCCAGACGTGGTAGCTCATGTCTGTAATCCCAGCACTTTGGGAGGCTGATGCGGGTGGATCAGCTGAGGTCAGGAGTTCAAGCAGCTTGGTCAACATGGTGAAACCCCATCTCTACTAAAAATACAAAAATTAGCTGGATGTGGTGGCAGGCACCTGTAATCCCAGCTACTCAGGAGGCTGAGGCAGGAGAATCACTTGAACTCAGGAGGTGGAGGTTGCAGTGAACCGAGATCACGCCATTACACTCTAGCCTGGGAAATAAGAGTGAAACTATGTCTCAAAAAAAAAAAAAAATTGGGGCCATTTTAGATCCTCCACAAAGAAGTGGGCTGGAATCAGATCACATATGGGTTTGTACACAGAGAAAAGGAGTTAGAATTGTCCGTAACAGCCTACTTGTATAGTTACTGCCATTTCTTCATTTCAAGGCAAGGCCCTGACAAACCTCTTTGGCTGAAAATCTTTAAAGGGTGGGAAGACTTCCTTATCATGGACTACATGGCAGAGTCATACTGTATGCAGAGCCACTACATCCCCATTCCCAGGGGCCTTCTGCTCCTGGCCCTGGAAACACAGCTAAGGGAGCCTCTCTCTGTTTAGAGAAAGGCCAGCCTCCGGTAAAGAAGAAGGATGGGCTGGGGCAGCGTCATTCTCCAGGCTCTTTATGAAAGGGAAAACCAGACAAATTACATCTTAAAAATAATTTCTGAGATACTGATGCATTCATTTTTAAAAAACTAGTGTAGATTTGAAAATTACTTCTTAATATGTTCAATCTAAAGTTGGTCTTTACAAAATTTCTCTCACAGATTGCCAGCAGATGGATCTGGGACATTGCATGGGACAGCTGGGTCGCAGCTAAACACGAAGCAGAATCCTACGTGGCACTGGTCTTGGTGTTTGCCCTTTATTATGAATAGCTCATTACAGGTACTAAGGATTGTTTACTTCCGAACTTTTCAAAAATAAATGAAATTTACATATTTGTAAACCTCATAATATTTCTGATTTGCTATATTCTTATTCTCATTTGAGGCCTTTCAATTGTATTATTTTAACAACAAAGTAGAAGCCAGATTTTTATATTTATACTTACTGTTATATTAACTAACATAATATTATGCCAAAGTAGTATAAAAGGTGTATGCATGTGTGTCTGTGTGTGTATATATGTATGTATATACAAATTCTTATAGTAGAGTATAGGGAAAATATCATTTTTGTAAGATTTAAGAAAATGATAATTTGCTACAGGAAATTAAAATGCAACCTTGTAAAGTATCAAATTCAGTAGATGTTAAGATAGATTTTGGAAATTTCTAATGATATTTTAATACTTTGTATTCATTGTTTTGAAAGGAATTACCAAGTTTGAAAGAAAGATGTTATTATATTTCATAATTCCCTAATATCCTCCCGCTCCAGCCAAACTGCTTACAAGTGTGTAGTCAATTTACTAATCTATTAGGCTCTGTTAGGCTCTGTGAGCCTTCTAGGATCTTTTTTTCAGATGCAAGAACTGAAAATTCATATTAATTGTTTAAAGAAATGAGGAAAATTTTATTTCCCAGGGATTTGATCAAGGATCCAGGTTCTCTCCAACTTCCCATTCTCCCCACAGACTTCCACGTACATTCATTTTGCTTGACAGAATTTAATCATGTTCCTATGACTAGACCAGTTGTAATTCCCTCCTTAAGATTGGGGCTGGAGCCTACCTTTTCTGAAGCGTGAGATCATGTGAAAAGTGTGGCTATTTGCCAGCCACAGTGGCTCACTCCTATAATCCCAGCACATGGGAAGGCCAGGGTGGGAGGATTGCTCTAGCCCAGGAATTTGAGACCAGCCTGAGCAACATGGCAAGACTCCATCTCTTAAAAAAAAAAAAAAAAAAAAGGAGAAAATTGTGGATCCAGTGTACAAATTGGGACTCTTCTAGCAGGGAGGCAGGGTGTGCACTTGTGGGAGGCAAGCAATACCTGTGATAATCAGTATGATTTTCATCATTACAACCAGAACTGAAAACAACCATGTCAATATTGACAAGTAAAAATACCTATTAGTTGAATTATCTATAAACAAGGAGATAAAAATGGCAGAGAAGGGTTTTTTTTTCCACTTAGGTTTTATAATGAGTTGGTGTCAGTTTCCACTTATGAGAGTTAAGGAGCTGAAATATGATTCCTGCCTGAATAGATCCAAATGGAGTTTGGCTGCGGGAGTGCATGAAAGTTTGGCCAGAATTATTCTTAGAAAATCACTCCAGCTCCCTCCTGCTGCCTTGTGAAGAAGGTGCGTTGCTTTCCCTTTGCCTTGCGCCATGATTTTAAGTTTCCTGAGGCCTCCCAGCCATGCAAAACTAGGGGTGGGGCCAAGACGGCCGACTAGAAGCAGCACCATGTAGGAGGCTCCTATGGGAAAAAAAGCATAAGCATGTGAATCCTTCACCAGCAACCAAGGTATCCAGGTTCTCTCATCAAAATTGACTAGAAGGCTGGCATTACCCACACAGAGAAGGAAGAGCAGTGTGGTGTGGCAGCCCACCTGAGAGCCACATGGGGAAGGGGAACCCCCTTCCCCCAAGCCAGGGGAGGTGGTGAGTAAGAGTGCTACCCAGCCAGGGAAACTGTTGTTTTTCCATGGAACTGTGCAACCCACAGATCAGAAGATTCCACTTGCAAACCCACGCCACTGGGGCTAGCATCACAACCCTGGAACGCGCAGATTCGTACAGCCTCTCAGCTGGAATCTGCTTAAGCTTACCCAATTCCCATGAGGAAGGGTGGCCAGCACTGGCTGCAGCTGCCTGATGTCTAAGCCATTTGAACTCCTTGTGGGAGGGGCAGCAGCCAGCACTGGGACTTGCAACTGCCTAACATGCTAAGCCCCCTGGGTAGGGGAAGGGCAGCACCCATTTCTATAGTTCCAGGCTGCGCTTTTCCCCTGCTGGAGCCAGGCAGGCTGGACAGCTTGGTCCCATGACTTGTCCCCACAGCCCAACACACCAGCTGTGGCAGTCTGCGGCCAGAGTGCCTCTTCAGGTCTAACTCTGACCCATCCTTCCTCAGTGGCTTTCCTGCAGGATCTCCAATAACTCCAGCCAGAGGCTCAGGGACAGAATTTGGATCTCCCTGGGCCTGAGACCCTAGTGGGAGGGGTGGCTGCAGTCTCTGTGGACCAGCAGGCTTAGCCTCTCCTCCTGGTAGTTCTGAGTAATCCAGGCAGCCCAGACAAGTGGGTTTCCCCCAGTGAAACATACCCTCTCTACTAAGGGACAAATTGCTTCATTAGATGGGTCCTGCTCCCTGTGTCACCCAACTGGGTGAGACCCTCCAACAGGGGTTGTCAGATACCCTATACAGGAGTGATCCTACTGGCATCAGGCTGGTGCCCCTCAAGGTCAGAGGTCCCAGAAAAAGGAGCAGGCACCCATCTTTGCTGCTTTCCAGCTTCCTTGAGTGACATCTCCAGGTATAAGAGCAAATCAGATGAGTAGGGCCATTCACCCCAGCAAACTGCAGCAGCCCTACAGAAAAGGGGCCTATTTAAAGAAAAACAAAGAAGCAGAAAATGACAACAACAACAACAAAAAAGGCCCCCACAAAAACCCCATCTAAGGGTCAGCAGCCTCAAAGACCAAAACTAGACAAACTCATGAAGATAAGAAAGAATCAATGAAAAAAATGCTGAAAACCCAAAAGGCCAGAGTGCCTCTTTTCCTCCACATGATCACAGTGTCTCTCCATCAAGGGCACAGAACTGGACGGAGGATCAGAGGGATGAATTGACAGAAGTAGACTTCAGAAGATGTGTAATAAAAAAATTATGATCAACTAATGGAGCATGTTCTAACCCAATGGAAAGAAGCTAAGAACCTTCATAAAAAGTTAGAGCAATTGCTAACTAGAATAACCAGCTTAGAGAAGAACATAACCAACCTGATGGAGCTGAAAAACACAGCATGAGAACTTCGTGAAGCATACACAAGTATCAACAGCAGAATCGACCAAGTGGAAGAAAGGATATCAGAGTTTGAAGACCACCTTACTGAAATAAGATATACAGACAAGAATAGAGAAAAAAGAATGAAAAGGAATGAACAAAGCCTCCAAGAAATATGGGACTTCATAAAAAGGCCAAACCTACGATTGATTGGAGTAGCAGAAGGAGATGGGGAGAATGGAAACAAGCTAGAAAACACACTTCAGGATATTATCTAGGAAAACTTCCCCAACCTAGGAAGACAGGCCAACATGTAAATTCAGAAAATACAGACAACACCATTAAGATACTCCATGAGAAGATCAACCCCAAGACACATAATTGCCAGATTCTCTGAAGTTAAAATGAAGGAAAACCTGTTAAGGGCAGCCAGAGAGAAAGGCCAGGTCACATACAAAGGGAAGCCCATCAGACTAACAGCCGACATCTCACAGAAACTCTATAAGCCAGAAGAGATTGAGGGTCAATATTCAACATTCTTAAAGAAAATAATTTTCAACCCAGAATTTCATATCCAGCCAAACTAAGCTTCATAAGCGAAGGAGAAATAAAATCCTTTCCAGACAAGCAAATGCTGAGGGATTTTGTTACCACCAGGCCTGCTCTGCAACAGCTCCTGAAAGAAGCACTAAATATGGAAAGGAAAAACTGGTAGCAGCCACTGCAAAAACACACCAAAATATAAAGACCAATGACACTATGAAGAAACTGGATCAACTAGTGTGCAAAATAATCAAATAGCATTATGACAGGATCAAATTCACATATAACAATACTAACCTTAAATGTAAATGGGCTGAATGCCACCAATTAAAAGACACAGACAGGCAAATTGGATAACGAGTCAACACCTGTCAGTGTACTGTATTCAGGAGACCCATCTTACATGCAAAGACACACAGGCTCAAAATAAAGGGAAGGAGGAAAATTTACCAAGCAAATGGAAAGCAAAAAAAAAAACAAACAAAAAAACGAAACAACAACAACAACAACAAAACAGGGGTTGCAATCCTAGTCTCTGTCAAAACAGACTTTAAACCAACAAAGATCAAAAAAGAAGGGCACTATGTAATGGTAAAGGGAACAATTCAACAAGAAGAGCTAACTATTCTGAATATATATGTACCCAATACTGGAGCACTCAAATTCATAAAACATATGCTTAGAGACCTACAAAGAGACTTAGACTCCCACACAGTGATAGTGAGAGACCTTAACACCCCACTGTCAGTATTAGACAGATCAATGAGACAGAAAATTAACAAGGATATTCAGGACTTGGAACTCAGCTCTGGATCAAGTGGACCTAGTAGACGTCTACAGACCTTTCTACTCCAAATCAACAGAATATACATTCTTTCCAGTGCCATATGGCACTTATGCTAAAATCAACCATATAATTGGAAGTAAAGCACTCCTCAGCAAATGCAAAAGAACTGAAATCATAACAAACAGTCTTTCAGACGACAGTGCAATCAAATTAGAACTCAGGATTAAGAAGCTCACTCAGTACCACACAATTTCATGGAAGTTGAACAACCTGCTCCTGAATGACTCCTGGGTAAATAATGAAACTAAGGCAAAAATCAAGAAGTTATTTGAAACCAATGAGAACAAAGGTAATATACCAGAATCTCTGGGACACAGCTAAAGCAGTGTTAAGAGGGAAATTTACAGCACTAAATGCCTGCATCAGAAAGCTAGAAAGATCTCAAATCAACACCCTAACATCACAATTAAAAGAGCTACAGAGGCAAGAGCAAACTAATCCAAAAGCTAGCAGAAGACAAAAAATAACTAACATCAGAGAAGAATTGAAGGAGACAGAGACACAATAAACCCTCCAAAAAATCCATGAATCCAGGAGCTGGTTTTTTGAAAAAAAATTAACTAAATAGAAAGACCACTAGCTAGATTAATAAGAAGAGAGAAGAATCAAATAGACACAATAAAAAATGATAAAGGGGATATCACCACTGACCCCACAGAAATACAAATTACCATTAGAGAATACTACAAACACCTCTATGCAAATAAACTAGAAAATCTAGAAGAAATGGATAAATTCCTGGATGCATACACCCTACCAAGACCAAACCAGGAAGAAGTTGAATCCCTGAATAGACCAATAAGAAGCTCTGAAACTGAGGCAGTAATTAATAGCCTACCAACCAAAAAAAGCCCAGGGCAAGAAGGATTCACAGCTGAATTCTACCAGAAATACAAAGAGGAGCTAGTACCATTCCTTCTGAAACTATTCCAAACAATTGAAAAGGAGGGAATCCTCCCTAACTCATTTTATGAAGCCAGCATCGCCCTGATACCAAAACCTGGAAGAGACACAACAAAAAAAAAGAAAACTTCAGGCCAATATCCCTGATGAACATCAATGTGAAAATTCTCAATAAAATACTGGCCAACCGAATCCAGCAGCACATCAAAAAACTTATCTACCACGATCAAGTCGGCTTCATCCCTGGGATGCAAGGCTGGTTCAACATATGCAAATCAATAAATGTAATCCATCTCATAAACAGAACCAAAGACAAAAACCACATGATTATCTCAATAGATGCAGATTGATAGGGCTGACAAACTTCAACATCCCTTCATGTTAAAAAACTCTCAATAAACTAGGTATTGATGGAACAGATCTCAAAATAATAAGAGCTATTTATGACAAAACCACAGCCAATATCATATTGAATGGGCAAAAGCTGGAAGCATTCCCTTGGAAAACCAGTACAAGACAAGGATGCCCTCTCTCACCACTTCTATTCAACATAATATTGGAAGTTCTGGCCAGGGCAATCAGGCAAGAGAAAGAAATAAAGGGTATTCAAATAGGGGCAGAGGAAGTCAAGTTGTCTCTGTTTGCAGATGACATGATTTTATATTTAGAAAACCACATCATCTCAGCCCCAAAACTTCTGGAACTGATAAGCAACTACAGCAAAGTCTCAGGATACAAAATCAATGTGCAAAAATCACAAGCTTTCCTTTACACCAACAATAGGTAAGCAGAGAGCCAAATCATGAATAAACTCCCATTCACACTCACTACAAAGAGAATAAAATACCTAGGAATAGAGATAACAAGGGATGTGAAGCACCTCTTCAAGAACTACAAACCACTGCTCAAGGAAATAAGAGAGGACATAAACAAAGGGGAAAACATTCCATCCTCAGGGATAGGAAGAATCACCATTGTGAAAATGGCCACACTGCCCAAAGTAATTTATAGATTCAATGTTATTCCCATGAAACTACCATTGATATTTTTCACAGAATTAGAAAAAACTATTTTAAATTTCATATAGAATCAAAGAAGACCCTATATAGCCAAGACAATCCTAAGCAAAAAGAACAAAGCTGGAGGCATCATGCTACATGACTTCAAACTATACTACAAGGCTACAGTAACCAAAACAGCATGGTACTGGTACCAAAACAGACATATAGACCAATGGAGCAGAACAGAGACCTCAGAAATAACACCACACATCTACAGCCATCTGACCTTCGACAAACCTGACAAAAATAAGCAATGGGAAAAGGATCTCCTATTCAGTAAATGGTGCTGGGAAAACTGGCTAGCCATATGCAGAAAACTGAAACTGGACCCCTTCCTTACACCTTATACAAGAAGTAACTTAAGATGGATTAAAGACTTAAATGTAAAACCCAAAACCATAAAAACTCTAGAAGAAAACCTAGGCAATACCATTCAGGACACAGGCATGGGCAAAGACTTCATGACAAAAATGCCAAAAGCAATTGCAACAAAAGCCAAAATTGACAAATGGAATGTAATTAAACTAAAGAGCTTCTGTACAGCAAAAGAAACTATCATCAGAGTGAACTGGCAACCTACAGAATGGGAGAAAATTTTTGCGATCTACCCATCTGACAAAAGTCTAATATCCATAATTTGCAAGGTACTTAAACATATTTACAAGAAAAAAAAAACAACCCCATCAAAAAGTGGGCAAAGGATATGAACAGACATTTCTCAAAAGAAGACATTTATGTGGCCAACAAACATATGGAAAAAAAGCTCAACATCACTGATCATCAAAGAAATGCAAATCAAAACCACAATGAGATACCATCTCACACCAGTCAGAATGGTGATTATTAAAAAGTCCGAAAACAATGGATGCTGGCGAGGCTGTAGAGAAATAGGAACACTTTTACACTGTTGGTGAGAATGTAAATTAGTTCAACCATTGTGGAAGACAGTATGGCAATTCCTCAAGGATCTAGAACCAGAAATACCATTTGACCCAGCAATTCCATTACTGGGTATATACCCAAAGGAATATAAATCATTCTACTATGAAGACACATGCACATGTATGTTTATTTCAGCACTATTCACAATAGCAAAGACATGGAACTAACCTAAATGCCCATCAATGATAGACTGGATAAAGAAAATGTGGTACATATACACCATGGTATACTATGCAGCCATAAAAAGGAATGAGATCATGTCCTTTGCAGGGACATGGATGAAGCTGGAAGCTATCATCCTCAGCAAACTAACACAGGAGAAAAAAACATCACATGTTCTCACTCATAAGTGGGAGTTGAACATTGAGAACACATGGACACAAGAGAGGGGAACAACACACACCAGGGCCTGTTGGGGGTGAGAGTGGAGGGGAGGGAACTTAGAGGATGGGTCAACAGATGCAGCAAACCACCACGGCACATGTATACCTATGTAACAAATCTGGACATTCTGCACATGTATCCCATTTTTTTAAGAAGAAATAAAAAGATATTTTGATCATTTTCTTACAATTTCTACCAATTCTATTAGTAAACTAAAATTCCCTGAGAGTTTCCTTCTGGCAACTATATATCAGAACAACTGTTCTTTCATAATAAAAGAAAAATATGCTTGGTGAAAAAAAAATCACTCCACCATTATACAGAGAATATACATGATAGTTGTAGCCAAAAACCTCTTTAAAAGGAGCTATTGATGCTAATCTTGACCACAGAAAAAATTAGTAATAACCTATGAAATATGTCATATCATGCAATTTGCCTTCCTGATGAACTTGTCAGGATGAATTAATTGCAAAATATACTACCTGGTAATTGAGTTGACTGCCTCATAGATAGACTTGTTTGTAAAATGAGAATTATACCTTTTTCCTAAGGTTTGCATGTGAATTAAAGTAAATAATATGTAATCAAGCACTTATGCACACTTATTCTTATTAGGTCTGACACATCCAAATTACCTTTAGTTCTGTTCTTTCTCTTTCCCTTCTGTAAAACCCCATATATACTTAGTTGTTAAATTCTATAGATTTTAATTTTTTGAAGTGGCTCAAAATAGCTTCAATTTTCCATTTGTTATATCTGTAGCCTAGGTACTCACTTCTCTCAAATCTGTTTCAATAGCCCCTTTATTTCATTGATTCATTTATTATTTTTTTGTTCAACAGAATCATGCATCTACTATGTTCTAGGCACTGTTGGAGATGCAGATTGTATTGTGGTGAAAAAAACAGACAAGTCCCCTGACTTCACTGAACTTCTTTTGTATTGGGGGGCTGGTATTCAGCAACTGCACCTCTAGTAAATGCTTCCAAGAATGAGGCAGGGAGAAAACCCAATGGGCCTATTTTCTTTGCCTTACGTCTCATCTCCATACCTTACACATAAAACTGATGGAGTTTTCATCTTGGAAGCATAACTTTGTATCAGTCTTTGCCTCAAAACCCCTCAGTGGCTCTTGATTGCCTTATGAGTGAATACCAATTCTTCTGCCTACTCTTAAGGTTCTAGATTGTCCATAATGTAATACTCTGCTATTTTCTGAGGTTAAGTGGATTCCAGGTGCATTATAAAGATCTCAGATCCTAGCAACACTTCTCACTGTCAATCCAACGTCTCTCTCACTGCTTCTCCAGATTGGGTGAGATATCCCCCTTTGTCCTCCATAATATCTTCTATTATTGCCTTTCCTCTAACATAAAACTCCTTTCCTCCTTTTCTTCCCCAATAAGCTATGTTGAGACCTGTACCAAGAAAACCTCTGCCCTGCTATCATCAGCCTCTTTCCCCTAGGCTCCTCCACCTAGGCTGTACTTCACCACGATCCTATAAAAGGGTAGTATCACCTGACCCCACTAGACTATCATGCTAAGTATTCAGATACATAACTTTTGAACCACTTGCCCACTGTGAAGATCACTCACATAAAATATCACATAAACATTTCCTTCAGTCCATCGGCTCACTGCAAGCTCCACCTCCCAGGTTCACACCATTCTCATGCCTCAGCCTCCTGAGTAGCTGGGACTACAGGCGCCTGCCACCATGCCCGGCTAATTTTTTGTATTTTTAGTAGAGATGGGGTTTCACTGTGTTAGCCAGGATGGTCTCGATCTCCTGACTTCGTGATCCATCCGCCCGCCTCGGCCTCCCAAAGTGCTGGGATTACAGGCGTGAGCCACCGCGCCCGGCCGGAACTTTCTTTATATGGTTCATCAGGCTCCTCTATATTCCCAACCTCTCTTCCACATGCATTTTGAGTTCCTTTCCTTAAAAGCAATCTGACTTTTCCCTGAAGAGGAGTGCCACTGCAGCCCTCTCAAATGAAGGCTGTTTTTTTCCTCTCAATCTTTGATGACTTACAGCCAGGAGTTAGCGTAGGTAACCCCTTTGACCTTAAAAAAAATTCTGGCTCCTGAAAATGTATGCTATCTGAATATATAATCTTTTACCTGTTGATTTCTGCTGCCTGTAGTTCCTGGCTTATTCCTCCCCATCACTTGAAGACTTGAGCTACTGGATTATATAATCTTCATCCCCACCCAACTCCTGTCATCTTTCCTTGGGACTTCAACATCCACATAGATGAGCCATCCAAAACAAGGCAGTCCTCACTTTGCACAGTTCTAGTATGCACTGTGCAATTTTCACTTTCAGAATATTCAAGCAAATTTCATTTACTGTGGTTTAGTTAAATAATACCAGTTCCCCAACAAGGTGGTTCACATTTCAATTATGATTGCATATTAACTTTATGTGAGGAATTGCATAAAGAAGAAAATTCACAGCTAGCTCTTCAGTTCACAGATCACTATGTAAATAACAGATGGGCACTGTCTTAGCTTGGGCTAATATAATTAAATGCCTTAGACTGGGTTGCTTAAACAAATATTTTTTATTGAGGTTCTAGAGGCTGAAAGTCTGAGATCAGGGTGCCAACATGGTGGTTCTTGGTGAGGGCCCTCTTCCTGGTTATGTCCTTACCTGGTCTTTCCTTGGTGGGGGTGGGGGCAGGGGAGAGAGAAAGAGAAGGAATATGAATCTTGTATCTCTTCTTCTTTTTGAAAGGATATTAATCCCCATCATGGGGACTCTGCTCTCGTGACCTCATGTAAATCTAATCACCTCCCAAAGTTCTCACTTCCAAATACCATCACACTGGGGATTAGGGCTTCAATTTATGAATTTGCAGGTAAGGCACAAACATTCAGTCCATAGCAGATATCACAATCCTTCTTTCAGAGTCTGTCAGTTATTGGTCACTGCACAACTGTTACTCAGTTTTTCAGTTTACAAGCAGCAAAGCATGTAGTTGTATAGCTTCCTTGATTCCCAGTGATAAACTAACATGATATTTTACAAAAATGGATCATTAAAAGGGAATTGGCCAAGAAAGATGAAAGTACAGCAAATAAAAAAATAATAATGCAGAAATGAAATTAGATGTGATTAGGGAATTTGAAAATGACAAAAGCAAAGCAAAGATAGGATGAGACCTCGGCCTACACAAAAGGCACCATAGAAGCCATAGAGAAAAAGTTCAGTAAGTAGAAAAAACAAGGTAAGTTGCTTCAGGATCTTTTGGTTTAAATTGCACTAGAAAGAGAATGCAAATTATGGCCGATATAAAGACTTTTTCCTGCTTTTGACTGAAGACTGTAATAAATTTAAATTTTTTCCCAATCAGTCTGGCTAGCATTCGGGTGAAGTGTTGAAGTTGGTTGTCTTGTTGAAAGAAAATGATAATTACAAAGAGACTAAATAAAAACCTTATTCAGCCAGTAAATTCTGGTTTCATCATTTTATGAATTGATTAATGTTAAGAGATTAAAGTGGCTGTGACAAAAGGGTGAAGAGGTCCACAGGAAGTGTTGCTGATACACTTTGTATTAAAGAATTCCTGAGAATAGTTCACAAGATTGAAAATGCAAAGATAAAATGTTGGAAGCTAATCTAAACTTAGAATGCAGAATAACAATTTTTCAAGACAGAAGATTAATAGTATGAGAAGAGGCAAACAGTTCACACTACTATTGGTAAGTTGTTTTGTTTTCTTTTGTTTTTCACAAAGAATAAAGACTGATTCTCCATGTTTCTCATGTTTTAAATTATGGCATACTAAATAAATTAGTTTTACAATTTAAAAAATTCCTGATATGTCTACGTAGCAGTAACAGAGTTTTTGATGTTTCAACAAAAGTTCTTAAGTGTCACAGAACAATTTTAATTTTTCTCTTTGATTATTAAGATCACTTTGCACAATTTCAACTTCCATGGTCATTTTTCTAGTCATGTTCTACCATGCCAAGCTAGGACTGGCTGTATGCTTTCTAATTCCTTAACCAACTCACATTCAGTTGCCTTTTACCCCTCTAGACTTTGCTGTCGCCAATATTAGTATGACTTCTGAAATCTTTATTTCAAGCAAGTTATTCTCATGCAATCATTTCCTGTCCTTCCAGCTCACCACCTCTAGTACCCCGAAGACAGCCATTCTCTAATCTTATTGAAATCTCCAGTTCATTGGCTTTTTTCACCATTTATAGCCCTCAAATTTCCTACCTTGTCCAGCTTAGATATCATGGCTCATCATTATAATCACTCCTTTACAAACAGACTTCAATTTCTTTGTCCCTCTTCCTCACCTGGAAAACCCCTTCCTGAATGAACCCCATTATCCACTTTGTCCAAGCCTGAATCCAAGTAGGTAAACTTGACTGAGAACCTGACAAAGCCAGACCGAGTAGTTTCACTTTAAATTCATGACCATAACTCTCAAGAAGGCAAAACACTTGGCATCCTGGAAACTTTGCTTTCCTGCTGACACACCTCCTTCTTCCTCAGATCTTCTGTATCTCTCTCCCCTACACAACTGTCAGCTGATTTTCCCTTTATATTTCATGAAGGAAAGAAAATATATCAGAAATAAAAATCCTTCAAGTTGGCTGGGTGCAGTGGCTCACGCCTGTAATCCCAGCACTTTGGGAGGCCGAGGCAGGCAGATCATGAGGTCAGGAGATCGAGACCATCCTGGCTAACATGGTGAAACTCCGTCTCTACTAAAAATACAAAAAATTAGCCAGGTGTGGTAGCGGGCACCTGTAGTCCCAGCTACTTGGGAGGCTGAGGCAGGAGAATGGCGTGAACCCAGGAGGTGGAGCTTGCAGTGAGCCGAGATCAGGCCACTGCACTCCAACCTGGGCAACAGAGTGAGTCTCTGTCTCAAAAAAAAACAAAAAAACAAAAAAACAAACCTTCAAGTTTTCCACTCACCTGCTTGCAGCTGCGACCACCTTCTGTCTTTCCTGTTAAATTGGGTGGATTCTGCTTCCTGTCTAATACCTGTGCTCTGGAGCCCATTTTTCCTTGCCTTCTCACAAGCTGCCTTCCAGTAGCATTTCCTCTCTCTGCTCAATCATGGTTTTCTGCCTTCCTACTCAGTCATTCTTTTCAGTATACCAACATGTGCTAATGTCTTCCATCTTAAAAACATCCCTACCACCTCTCCAGATACTCTCTTTCTCCATTACTTTTTATAATAAAACTACACAGAAGAGTTGTCTATACTCTGGCTCCAATTCCTAGGCTTCCATTCCTCCCTTAATCTGCTTTAATTTAGTTTCTGAAACCACCACTTTGCTGAAATAGCTTGAAACAGTCAAGACAGTTAATTACCTCCAGGTTGATAAATACAATGTATTCTTCTCTGCCACCTTACTAACTTCTCCATTAGGAGAGCTGACCAGTCCCTCTTTTAAAACACTCTCTCCTTTCAGTTTACAGTACTTTACACTTAGTTTTCTTTTTTTTCCTTCTCTATCTTACTTCCACAAGTTGAGTACCTTTGGACTTCTTGGTCTTGGGCCTTATTTTCACGTATATCTGCATAATCTAAGTGGTCTCATACGGTTTCATGCTTTTTTCCCCCTTATCAGTATTTCCAGGGCCTAACTCAGGGTGTAACTTAGTAAACAGTAAGGCATTCATTTGATGAATGAATGAATAAATGGTTTTTTTATATCTTCATCATTTAACATAGTTCTTAGTTAATACTTGGCTTGCCATAAAATATTTGTGGAATAATTGGACATTATTGTTATCATACAAATGAGGAAATGGAGGGTCAGAGAGATTAACTAATTTACCTTTGATCACACAGCTAATAAGAGGCACAGCTGGGATTTAAACCAAAGTCTTAACTTGAAATCTTTGTTCTCTCCATTACATCATAGTACCTCCCTACATATTTCATCCTTAACTCCTAGAATCCATCTTCATTTATCTCATTCTTATGCCAAACTGGAACGATTGATGTACCTGAATATGTCTATTTTCCCACCCCTCAGCCTGTTTGGGGCTTGAAACCCAATTTCTACTTCCATTGCACATCTACCTGTGTCTTTCTTACCTGTCTTTAAAGCAGTTTTCAAATTCTAGGTCAACCTTGAAACCTCCATTTTTTTTAGTTGGTAGTAAACTCCATTTTTTTTTTTAGTTGCTAGTTGTTTTCCCACCTAAGCTGCCTTAAAGTACAATTATATATTCGTACCATATTGTATTAGTGTTGAAGCTGCCTATAGGCAGGGATCTAATCTATACAGTGTCTCCTTAATATTCTTCTTTGCCTTGCACATTGGAAGACTGAATCAGTTATTTGTTGACTCCAGAATAAATTTGCATTTGATCTTGTCAACCTAAATAACAGACAGGTTTGCCAAACATGACAAATTTATTTGAAAGTGGGCATTGCAATGTAGAATATGGTGTCATAGTAAACTATAGGTGTATTCAGGGAGGTAAAGGAAGATAAGGGGTTTAAAAGGAAAAACGAGGAGGATTACGTAAGTTGTTTTGAAACAATTATCCTTGGCTACAAAGATCAGTAACAAAGGGGATGGCCAGTCCAAGGTTGGACAGGCAGTTGCTGCGCAAATGTCCTTGAAGCATTTTTTTGTGTAGTTTTGTGGCCTTTGTGCAAGGTTGTGGTTTTGGCAGTCTTTTGTGCTAATTCTTTATATCAGGCAATTATTAGTGAGAACTTTCCCATCACGGCTTTCCCTGACTCCATTCTCTGACAGCTTTCACAATCTAGAGACAGAATCCCGGAGGGAGAGGAGTACCAAATAGCTTAAGAGTTTTTTTTTGTTTTTGTTTTTTTTCTTAAAAAAAAAACCGCTAAACTCTACCCTGATCAGTGAAAAGAATTTAGCTGAAAGATGCAGTTTCTTCTTGGCAGATTCAGACAAGAAGTGCGGCGGAAGCTTACACCTGCACGTGGTGGGACAGAGGCAAGAACGGATGGTCTGGCTGAGGCTGAGAGAACCAAGCTGGATTAGGATCGGCTTGAGGGCCCGGCGTCGTCAGTGGTGACCTCTCTGACCTGAGGCAAGTGAGTCAGGCTGGACTGAGCGTGTTAACGTCGGTGTTTGTCAATGTGACGCGCTAGAATAATCCCTTTATCTTTCCCAACTTTTGTTTGTTGAGTGTAGGCAACTATAATGAATGGAAAGGAAACCGGATTGTACTTTAAATCCGAGAACATTCTCTACTCTCCAGAACAAGTCATCTGCAGGCGCAGGCAGTGGAATCCGTGAGGCCAGCTGTACGGCGGGCCGCCCCGGACCCAGGCTTGGCTCCTCACTTTCCGCTGTTTTTAGTGCGGTCCTACAAGTGCCCTGGTGCAGCCCGAGATCAGTAATAAATGCAGCTGAAATACACCGGCTCCCACGTTCTCGCGGGGGTACCTGCCAGGCCGGCGTCCACGCTCCTCCCCGGCTCCCGGCCGACCGCGTTCTCGGCGGAGGCATCAACCACGCGGGCACGCAAAGCCACGAGGGCCGAATCTCAGCGACTTCTTCCCGCTGTGCCTCCCGCACGCTCCGGGGCGGGCGCCGACAGCCCCCGGGTGCAGCTGCGGATGCTCGGGGAAGCGTGGCCTGGGCAGGTGGCTCCGCTGCTCTCTCGGAGCGCCACCAGCGAGAGGGGCGACCCGAGAACAAAGGCGGGA